>NC_000011.10:50060000-50212269 GCF_000001405.40 Homo sapiens | reverse complement strand
GTAGTGAATAAGTGTCATGAGATCTGATGGTTTTATAAGGGGTTTCCCCTTTTGTTTGGCTCTCATTCTCTCTTGTATGCCACCATGTAAGACATGCCTTTGGCCTTGCACCATGATTGTAAGGCTTCCCCAGACACATGGAACTGTGACTCTAATAAACCTCTTTTTCTTTATAAAGTACCCAGTCTCGGGTGTGTCTTTATCAGCAGCATGAAAACAGAGTAATACACTATGCACTGTTTACCATCAGAAGTACAAAATTCAACTGTCTGATCACTTCCATGACAGGAGCTTGGGTAGGTTTATCATATAGAGTGGATTGGAGTTAGGAATTTGTTCCCAGAGGATTAATTATAGTAAAATCCCCTGATTGCATACAAGGAAGAAAAGGAGACAGAGGAAGAGGAGGAGATCTAGTGTGAATCTTACCTAATTTCTTGCAGAGTCATTTGAGTAAAGTTAGGGATATGAAACACTAAAGGTTAATTTAGGTTTAAGGGACATGAAGAGAAGTATAAACAGAGGAAGATGCCAAGCATGAGGCGTCAGAACAGGAACATGTTAGGCACAGGGTAAGAGGATCTGTTTGGAAGATGCCTGTGGAAACTTGGCTCATTGGTAACTGGCTGGTAAAAGGGTCTCAAGGCTCTCAAGTGATTCTCCTGCCTCAGCCTCCTGAGTAGCTGGGATTACAGGCACCTGCCACCATGCCCAGCTAATTTTTGTATTTTTAGTAGAGATGGGGTTTCACCATGTTGGCCAGGCTGGTCTCGAACCTCACCTCAGGTGACCCACCTTCCTCAGCCTCCCAAAGTGCTGAGATTACAGGCATGAGCCACTGGCCTCTACACTTCTCTTTACTAGAGCAAAGGAGTATTTCTATTTCTGTTACCCACTAGGTCAGAGAAGACAGAAATTACTTTTAATATTCTTTTGCTGCTTGAAGAATTAACTCAATCATATGCCCTGGCCAATTCACATGGAATTAAACTCCTGGGTCTATCAAATGGTGTTTGTTTCACTAGGGGGAGGAGAAACCTTTATGAAGTAGGTCTACAGTCGAGCCAATCTTATCTGCTGCTATACTTTTCTCCCAGTTTTTAAAGGCCTCATTAAAGAGATGGAGGCCATGATTTCACAGGGATTTATAAGCTCATCAGGGAAGTGTCAGGGAATGAGATAATGAAGACAACACAGTATTTGGTGAGTTATCACTAGAGCCACACTGCATTTGTCTGTGAGCACTGTATATCATGGCTTAATTAGAAACACGCGTTAACCAGGAGCCAGACTGACATTTTTATCTTTCAGCCACCCTCCTAAATTATTCCTCAAATGGAATATGTCGTAGCAGCCAAGATATCCAACCCTGACATTACATGCATGAGCCCAACCAGGCAATAGGCCTGGAAGAAAATCTGACAGTAGCATCCTGAGACATTCTCTTATTTACTTAACATGTGTGTTCATTTGTTTAATAAGCAAGCATGGTGCTAGATGCTCTGGAGAATATAAGAGATCCTGTCCCAAAGTTCCAATAGGATAAACTCAAAGAAAAAAATGGACAAGTTGCTTCATCTCTCTGCATCTCAGTTTCTGCTTCTGAAAATGAGGATGATACTAGTTTATACCCCAGAGTGTTGTTGGAAGCAATAAAAGATAAAAGACACAAAGCCATGCTGTGAAGAGTAAATGAGATAGATAGATAAATAGATAGGTAGATGATAGATATAGATGATAGATAGGTAGATAGATAGGTATGTATAGATGGAGAGAGAGAAACAGATGGATAGGAATAGATAGATAGCCAGATTAGATAGACAGATGATAGATAGATAGATTGGTTGATAGATAGATATGTATAGATGGAGAGAGAAACAGATGAATAGGAATAGACAGATAGATGATAGATACATAGACAGACAGTGATGAATAGATGGATACATAGATGATAGATGATAGATAGATAGATAGATAGATAGAGATAGATAAGTATAAATGGAGAGAAAGAAAAATGTACGGATAGATATATGGATAGATGGATAGGGATAGATACATAGATATAGATCAATGGATGGACACATAGATGATAGATAAATATGTATAGATGGAGAGAGAAACAGATGGATAGATAGATGGATAGAGATAGATAGATAAATAGATAGAAATAGATGGATACAGAGATGGATAGATGATAAGCAGACAGATATAGACAGATGTGAAAAATACATATATATGTATATGTGAAGTTATAAATATGTATACATGTAGCAATAAATATGTATATATGTATTTGTACACATGTGTGTGTGTGAACTCTCCATGCATCCTGGGTTGTCAGAGACAAGAGGGAGCCCAGCAGAAAGTACCTGCTGAGGGAGACATGAAAACTATGAATTTTGAATGTGTTCCCCACACCACACAGATCCATAGCACAGCATAAAACATTTGGCATTTGGAAGCATTTTGTACTTTTCTGTTTGTTTTGGGTAAAATTTTGTTTGTAGTTCTATGTGTTTAGGGGGTGCAAGTGCAGGTTTCTTAGAGAATATATTGTGGAGTGGTGAAGTCTGGGCTTTTCCTGTGCCCATCACCCAAATAGTGAACATCGTACCCAATAGGTACTTTTTCAGTCCTCACCCCCTCCCAGCCTCCCACCTTTCATAGTCTCCAATGTCTATTATTCCCTCTGTATGTCCATGTCTACCCATTGTTTAGCCTCCACTTACAAGTGAGACTGTGTGGTATTTGGCTTACTGTTCCTTAGTTATTTCACCTAGGATTATGGCCTCCAGTTCCATTTGTGTTTCTACAAAAGACATGATTTTATTTCATTCTTTGTAATGGCTGAGTAGTATTTCATGATGTCTATATAACACATTTTTAAAATCCAATCTTCCCTTGATGGGCACTTAGGTGGATTCCACATCTTTTCTATTGTGAATAATGCTATGATAAACATACAAGTGCAGGTGTCTTTTTGATATCTTTATTTTTAGAGGCACTTTGAAGCATGAGTGGACTGTGGGAAGGCAGAGATCCATCCGTGAGAAGGGCATTTCAGGCAAAAGGAATGGCCTGGACAAAGGGGTGACAGTGTAGAAATACATGGTGTGAATGAGGATAAAATGCAACAAGCTCCATTTGGCTTGAGCAAAAAATACTGCAGGAGAGAAAACTGGATGCAGTTAGGGCATGAATCAGAAATAAGTTCAACTTCTTAAAAGGAAGCAATGAAACTTATTTCCATCATATCTGGGAAGTGAATAAAGCCCAGACAGTTTAAGGTATCAGTTTGAAGAACTTGAGTGTCATGTTTCATGCCACTGGTCCTCTGGGGACTGTGTTGAATAAATATTTAGAAATAGTGTTTCATGAGTATGGCTGTTAATTAAATATTAAGGAGTTATCATGTAATTGCCTGATGGATTCTTCTCCCCTACTGCACAGATACAGCCAATATACCAAGATAGCAGTATTGTAACAGAGAGTTTAATAAACACAGCTAGCTAAGCAGGAGATAGGAGTTTATTACTCAGATCAGTCTCCCTGAAAGCTTGGAAGCTAGGGTTTTCATGGATAATTTGCCTGGGAGGGGCTAAGCAGTGGTTGCTGCTTATTGGTTGGAGATAAAATCATAGGGGTGTGGAAAACAGTCCTCATGAGCTGAGTCAGCCCTTAGGTGGGGACCACACGACTGGTTGAGTCATGAGTCATGGGTCCAAATGGAGTTAGTTGTAAGAATGCAAAAGTCTGGAAAACATCTCAAAAGGCCCCCCTTAGGTTCTACAATAGTGATGTTATCTATATGAGCAATTGGAGAAGTCATAAATCTTGTGACCTCTGGCTTCAAGAATCCTGAGTGATTAGGGATTATAAGCAAGCAAGCTATGGAACAATGGTGGGTTATTATTTAACTATGCCTACATCTTAGCAGAATTCAGACCCCTCCTATAATCCCAATCTCCGTGGCCTTTCATGGGTCTTACAAAGGTGGTGTCAGTACTGGGACAAGGAGGAGGTCAGTTTTAGAAAGGGACTCTTATCATCCTTGATTGAAAGTCAAACTATAAATTAAATTTCTCCATGGTTAGGTTGGCCTATGCCCAGGAATGAACAAAGGCAGCTTGGAGGTCAGAAGCAAGATGGAATCAGTTAGGTGATATTTCTTTCCCTATCATAATTTTTCTATGTCACGTTTCTCTCACTGTCATACTTTTTGCAAAGGTGGCTTCAATTATAATGAAGATACCTGAGCTACAACATTTCCAAGTTTTATCAGCATCTTTTCTAGAGATTAAACAGGTGCTGCAGAGTTGACCTTCAAACCCATAGGTGGAATGAACAGAAGCTCGTGCCTGGCCCATGAAATGAGCCCATGAGAAAAGGTGACATGTCCTGTGGGCTTCCATGAAGTGTCTCTAGCAGTCATAGTGGCAGCATTCCAGCAGAGGGTTGCTGAGGGCTGCAGGATAGAAAATTCCCAAAGCAATGGTTTCTTCCAGTAGTGCAGTGGAAGCCTTCTCCTGCAAGAAAGAAACCAAAGCAAAGATCAGAAACCAAAGCAAAATCCACAGTGAGAAAATTTACAGGCACCTCCCCGCAGAAAGCCAAACATCAGGAACCAGAAAAGAAAGCTTCCTAAAGAAGCCAGAGAAGTCGAGACTAACCCCACCTGGCTGGAATTTCTAGAGACAAATGTTAAACCACAGCCTGAAAATGCAGTCGCATGTTTCAGCCTGGTCTTATCCTCTAGGTGAGGTTAGACCCTGCCTGCCTGGTCTCATGCTTATTACTCTGCACAATGTAGGTGGACAAGAAATACCCCTGGAATGACCTGGGAGAGGAAAACAATGCCATCTTCATTTCAATTTTCAGAAAGGGGTTTGCAAGAAAAGTACATTTGTCCAGGAATTGGGAGGTCTGAGTGCCATAGCCCAGTACACAGGCTATGGAAACAGCAAATTTGAGCTCCAATCCAAAACTCTGTCTCTGAACCAGATTGAGACAGGGTCCCAGGCCATGTCAACCTGTCATACTAAATCAGAAATGTGGTCTCTGCTCTGGACTTCTGCTTTGGTGGTTTGCCCTTGACATGGCAGGTGATATGCTGATCCTGGCCTCATTGAATAAATAGTGAACAAATATTTAAAACAGATACAAGGCTGGGTATGGGTGGCTCACACCAGTAATCCCAACACTTTGGGAGGCCGAGGCAGGAGGATTGCTTCAACCCAGTTTGAGACCAGCCAAGCAACATATCGAGACCACTATCTCTGCAAAATAAAAAAAAAATTAGCCAGGTGTGGTGGTGCCCACCTGTAGTCCCACCTACTCATAAGGCTGAGGTGGGAGGATTGCTTGAGCAGGGGAGGTCGAGGCTACAGTGAGGTATGATCATGCCACTGCACTCCAGCCTGGGTGACAGAGCAAGACTCTGCCTCAGAAAAAAAAAAGAGAGACATAAACATTTTAACATTATTTTATGAAATGTCATAAAAAATAAAAATTACAAACGTATCCTGGGTGTTCTGCCTGCTCTGCTCTGCTTCTTCTTACTGGGTGATCTTAGGACAGTTGTTTAATGCCTCCAAGTCTCACTCTTCTCATCTGCAAGAATGTAATAGGTCCCGTAATCCCAGCACTTTGGGAAGTGAGGCAGGTGAATCACTTGAGGTCAGGAGTTCGAGACCAGCCTGACCAACATGGTGAAACCCCATCTCTACTAAAAATATAAAAATTAGCCCGGTGTGGTGGTGGGTGCCTGTAATCCCAGCTACTTGGGAGGCTGACACAGGAGAATTGCTTGAAACAAGTAGGCAGAGTTTGCAGTGAACCGAGATCACACCACTGCACTCCAGCTGGGGTGACAGAGTGAGACTCCATCTCAAAAATAAACAACAACAACAAAAAGAATGTAATAGGAAGTGCAACATTTTTCCTAAGGCTGTTCAAGGGGTGAGTGGTGGGTGTTCTGTAAATTGTGATTATTCATCCCTAGCTCTGCCAGTAAGTGTTTGCTCTTACATAACTCACTTTTCCTTTCCGAAGATCAGTGTTCTCACGTGCAAAGTGTGGGGTTCAGACCAGACAACCCCTAAGAAGTAAAAGTGAGCTTTCTGCTTTTCATTGTGCTGTGTTTCCAAAGCAGCACCTGGTGAGAAAGCAATCACTACCCCACCTGGCAGCAGGAAGAGAACTAGTGTCTCAAGGTTACTGTGTTAGTCCATTTTGCATTGCTATAAAGAAATACCCAAGACTGGGTAATTTAGAGAGAAAAGAGGTTTATTTGGCTCATGGTTCTCCAGGCTGTACAAGAAGAATGGTGCCAGTGTCTGCTTCTGGTGAGGACTTCAGGAAGCTTCCAATCATGGCAGAAGGTGAATGGGGAGCCAATGTATCACATGGAGAGAGAGGAAGCAAGAGAGAGAGGAGGAGGTTCCAGGCTCCTTTAAACAACCAGCTCTTCATGCCTGTAATTCCTACACTCTGGGGGGCCGAGGTGCATGGATCACAAGGTCAGGAGATTGAGACCATCCTGGCTAACACAGTGAAATCCCATCTCTACTAAAAATATAAAAAAATAGCCAGGCATGGTGGCAAGCGCCTGTAACCCCAGCTACTCATAAGGTCGAGGCAGGTGAATTGCTTGAACCCAGGAAGTGGAGGTTGGAGGGAGCAGAGATCGCACCACTGCACTCCTGCCTGGGTGACAGAGTGAGACTCTGTCTCAAAATAAATAAATAGAAATATAAATAAATAAATAAATAAATAAATAAATAAATAAATAACCAACCTGCTCTTCAGTGAAGTAACAGAGCAAGAACTCACTGATTACCTTGGGGCAAGCACCAAGCCATTCATGAAGGATCCACTCCATGACCACACACCTCTAACATTGGGGATCATATTTTGACATGAGATTTGGAGGGGACAAACTTTCAAATTATATCAGATACTTAGTGTTCTTTCAGATGAAAGTTGAGTCTCTAACCTCCTTGATAGCCAAGATACGCAAAACCGGTTCTCATAACTTTCAAAAGTGAATTAACTGAAAAGGCAGACAAGGGAATTTTGTTAGGTGATTTGTTGGAAGAGAAATCCTTAGAGGGTTTATTTCTCCTTGGAGCATAATGTCAATTATTATTAATAGCTTAGAATATACTCTTGATAATATTAAGGAAGTAGTCTCTAATTCTTATATGTCTTTATAAGACTTTAAAATAATAATGGATTGACTTGATAAAACACCCTTTAATATCTACTCATTTATTGATTTATAGACTCATTTTTCAGAGATGTAATATAAGCTATAGTAATATATTAATGTTTTTCTTAATATTGATCACTTCCATACTTGGGACAAACCCTTTGTGCTTTTATATTATTTTAATGTATCATTAAATTCTACTTACTGACATTGTTATTAATCACATAGTTTTGTATTCACAAGTGAGATTATTCTAAAACACTTTTGATTATCTTGGTCAGGGTATTGGGAACAGGAGCATCTACCTTATAGGATAAATCTTATAGCTTTCTGTCTTTTTGTAAAGACAGGGAGCAGAAAACACCCACATTAAATATTTCTCATTTGTTTCATTCCTTAGTATAATTTCAAATTCTTATTTGATCTTACATCAATTTGCCATTGTCGATTTATGTTATGTAAAAATAATACATCTCATTAAGATATTTCATTAATAATATAATTATGTATACCTCATAATTGCATTTATAATAATGCATTAAAAGTGCATTATTATTTTCTATTGTTACACCTCCTTTTTTCTCTCATGTTTTGAATCTTGCTAGTGTTTTAGTTCTTCTTCTTTTTTTTTTTTTTAGATGGATTCTCACTCTGTTGCCCAGGCTGGAGTGCAGTGGCATGATCTCTGCTTACTGCAACCTCTGCCTCCCGAGTTCAAGCAATTCTCCTGCCTCAGCCACCCAAGTAGCTGGGATTACAGGTGTGCACCACCAGGCTAGGCTAACTTTTGTATTTTTAGTAGAGATTTCACCATGTTGGCCAGGCTGGTCTCAAACTCTTGACTTCAAGTGATCCACCCACCTCTGCCTCCTGAAGTGCTGAGATTACAGGTGTGAGCCACCACCCCCAGCCCCAGGTATTTTAGTATTTTATTTAATATTACTATTTATTTACTAATTAATATTAATAATATTATTTAATTTTATATTTAGTATAATATTTTATACTAAATAGCTAGTATTTTAGTTATGCTATTAATCTCTTCTAAAATACATTTATTGCTAGGTTTCATGGTTTCATGTTGTTTAAGTAGACACTATAATTATTTTCTTTATTTTTAAATTTTAGTTAGAATGCTTCATTTTGTTTATTTTCACCTTTTTATTTTATTACAAAATATTCAAAGCTAAGAATTTATTTTGGAGTCTTGCTTTAATCACACTGCAGTCATTCATCACTTAAAAATAGAGATATTTTCTGACAAATGCTTTGTTCAGCAATTCCATCATTGTGTGAACATCATAGAGTGAGCTTACACAAGGCTAGATGGTAGGGCCGACCACACACCTAGGCCATATGGTAGAGCCCACTGCTCCTTGGCTACAAATCTATTTGGCATATGACTGTACTGAATTCTGTAGGCAACTGTAACACAATGGCGTTTGTGTATCTAAACATAGAAAAGAAACAGCAAAAATGCATTATTATAATTTCATGGGAGCACTGTCATAGAGTTCATCACTGATCCAAGTGTCATTATGTGGCATATGACTGAATATATGTTTGTATAGTGGTTTTGGTGGCAGGGGTTATTTGTGTGTGTGTGTGTGTGTGTGTGCGTGTGTGTGTCTGTGTCTGAGACAGAGTCATACTCCGTTGCCCAGGCTGGAGTGCAGTGGTGTGATCTCAGCTCACTCCAACCTCCCTAGCTGGGATTACAGGCATCTGCCACCATACCCGGTTAAGAAGATCTTTTTTGATCTTCTGCAAATGACTCTATTCTAAGTGCAGCTCAAATATTGGCAGACTTCATCAATGTTTGGACTAGACATCACATGGACACCAAATCAGTGGCAAATTCCCTTCTTTTCTACCCTGGTTTCTCCTTTGGCATCATTTCACCCCAAAATATTTCTGTTCATCTCTTTGGTGGGCAGAATAATGGTCCCCTAAAGATGCCCAAATCCTAATCCCCAGAACATGTGAATATGTTATCTTACATGGACAAAAGTATTTTGCAGATGTGATTAAGGTTAAGGACTTTGAGATGAGGGTATCATCTCAGATTATCCAGGTGGGCTCAACCTAATCACATGAGTCCTTAAAAGAAACTTTTCCAGCTGAGGTCAGAGTCAGAGAGAGAGGCTGGGCACAGTGACTCATGCTTGTAATCCCAGAACTTTGAGAAGCTGAGGCAGGAGGATCGCTTCAGCCTAAGAGATTGAAAGCAGCCTGGGCAACATAGCAAGACTGTCTCTACGAAAGAAAAATTTAAAAATTCACCAGGCATCATGGTGCATGTCTGTAGTTCCTAGCTACTTGGGAGGCTGAAAAGGGAGGATCACTTGAGCACAGGGGTTGAGGCTACAGTGAGCTATGGATAATATCCCACCTGGATAATCTGAGATGATACCCTCATCTCAAAGTCTTTAACCTTGATCACATCTGAAAAATCATTTTGTCCATGTAAGATAACATATTCACACGTTCTGGGGATTAGGATTTGGGCATCACTGCACTCCAGCTTGGGCAACAGAGCAAGACCCCATCTGAAAAAAAAAAAGTCAGAGAGGGAGGGGTGATTATGGGAGAATGGTGAGAGAGATGCAATGTTCCTGGATTTGAAAACAGAGAAAGGGGCTATGAAGGTGCACATTACATTGTTGTGCACCTTTAATTGCCACAACTCACTCCAGTTCTCTTTTCTTCCCTAAACAATCATTTAATGTATCATTTGTGTGTCTCACCTTTTGAATGTGTTCTTACAAAATGCACATTTTAGTTTTGTGTGCATGCAATTTTTAATTTCTGTAAATGACATTGATATAGAACAATTCACTTGCATAAGAACTAGTTTTTTTTTAAGATATAAGCTTGTATCTACAGCCATTGCTCCTAACTACTGCCTAGTAGCCCATGGTATAAATTTATTGTGGCTGACCCCTCCACACTTTTAATGTACAAAATATTTAACCCTTGAACAACATAGGCATGACCTAATGAGGAGGTTGCCTCAATGCTGGGCTGGAGCTGGATCCCACAGGCTCCTGAAATTCAGAATTTAATCTTAAATTGCTGCAGCAGGAAAGGTTAGGGTAGGTTTGCAGGGAAGATGGAGAGGCATTTAGTAGGCTGGGAAGCAGCTAGTTATCAACCCACATGACATGAGGACACTGTTTCACTATTTCAACAACCCGTGTGGCTGTATCATGCCTATCAGCTGAATATTACCCCTTGTGTTAGTCTTTTATTGTGTTGTTTAAAGAAATACCTGGGGCTGGATAATTTAAAAAGAAAATAGGTTTATTTGTCTCATGGTTCTATGGACCATACAAGAAGCATGGCACCAGCATCTGCTCCTGGAGAGGCATCAAGAAGATACCAAACATGGCAGAAGATATAGAGAGAGCTGGCATAACACGTGGCAAGAGAGAGAGCAAGTGAGGGAGAAGAGGGAGTTTCCAAACTCTGTTAAACGATCAGGTCTCACATGAACTAACTGAGTGAGAGCTCACTTATCACCAAAGAATGGCGCTAAGCCATTCATGAGGGATCCACACTCATGATCTGATATGGTTAGGCTTTGTGTCCCCACCCAAATCTCCTCTTGAATTGTAATCCCCAGATGTTGAGGAAAGAGACCTTGTGGGAGGTGATAAGATCATCAGGGTGGTTTTCCCCATGCTGTTCTCATGACAGTGAGTGAGTTTTCATGAGATCTGATGGTTTTATAAGTGTTTGGCAAGTTTCTCTTACGCTCACACTCTTTTCTGCCACCTTGTGAAGAAGGAGCATGCTTCCCCTTCTGCCATGATTGTACGTTTCCTGAGGCATCCCCAGCCATGCTGAACTGTGAGCCAATTAAACCTCTTTTATTTACAAATTACCCAGTCTCGGCTAGTATCTTTATGGCAGTGTGAGAATGAACTTATACATGATCCAATCACCTCCCACCAGGCCCCGCCTCTAACATTGGGGATCATATTTCAACAGGAGATTTGGAAGGGACAAGTATCCAAACTATATGACCCCTGCCTATCCTGACCTCTCCACTTCTAGTAATGAATTCCCAGGAATCCTCCAACTTCCCCACCATAAACCATAATGCAAAAAACTTCCTTGTACAAGTCCCATTATGGACCCTGAGATAGATACCAGTCAAGGAATTTCTGAGGCATGTATATGCATATATATAATTTGCATGAGTAACATCACAATGTCTGTACCAGTCCACCCACCCACCAACAGAGCATGTGGCCTCCCACAGCCCCACCAGCTATCTAATTGTCACCTAGTCCAGTAGGCATGAAGAAGTAGCTCACTGTGGTTTGAATTTGCATTTGTCTTATTTCTAATTACCAGGAACCTTGGGCTCTCATTTTGTGGTCAAAATCTTGGTGGCTTCCCATTCTACAAACATCCTTTTCATAGCAAATCTTCTCTTTTTTAAAAAATGGGGTTGCTCTCTTTTTATCACTTATAGGCAGGAGCTCCTTGTACAGAAGCGTCAAGGTATTTGTCAGAGGTGCTATCTCCTAATGCTTCCACAACTACAAGTTCTCAAAGTGTCAGCCCTGCACTAAAGACTGTGTCAGGATGAGGAGATTGGCTCTCTGAGTGACTCTGCTTCACACACTTTGGGATCACCTGGACCCCAAAGTAACACTGTGTGTGCTCAGAGTCTCTAAAAATCTCTCTTTTTTTGAGACAGGGTCTCGCTATGTTGCCCACGCTGGAGTGCAGTGGCATGATGATGGCTCACTGCAGCCTCAACCTCCCAGACTCAAGCTACCCTCCCACCTTAACCTCCTGAGTAGCAGGGAATACAGGCACACACCACCATGCCTGGTTCATTTCTGCATTTTTTTTTTTTTGTAGAGACAGGTTTTCACCATGTTGCCCAGTCTGGTCTCAAACGTCTGAGATCAAGCAATCCACCTACCTAGGCCTCCCAAAGTCCTGGGATTACAATGCACCAAGCCCAAAATCTCTTAATGAAAGCCTTTATATGACTTCTGTGCTGTCCTTCACCCACTGGCTGAAAAAATAGGATTGAAACAAATACCACTGAAACAGCCACATTGAAAGAAAGGGACAGTACTTTGTAGTCTAAAGTAAACCATGTCTCAGCCAATCAAAATGCCATTATGGGTATGGAGCCAAGATGGCCAAATAGTAACAGCTCCAGTCTACAGCTCCCAGCATGAGCGACACAGAAGACGGGTAATTTCTTCATTTCCAAATGAGGTACCGGGTTCATCTCACTGGGGAGTGTCAGAAAGTGGGTGCAGGACAGTGGGTTCAGTGCACCCAGTGTTAGTCAAAGCAGGGCGAGGCATCACCTCACCCAGGAAGTGCAAGGGGTCAGCAAATTCCCTTTCCTAGTCAAAGAAAGGGCTGACAGATGGCACCTGGAAAATCGGGTCACTCCCACCCTAATACTGCACTTTTCCAATGGTCTTAGCAAACGGCACACCAGAAGATTATATCCCGTGCATGGCTCGGAGGGTCCTATGCCCGTGAAGCCTCACTCATGGCTAGCACAGCAGTCTGAGATCAAACTGCAAGGTGGCAGTGAGGATGGGGGTGGGGCACCCACAATTTCCAAGGCTTGAGTAGGTAAACAAAGCAGCTGGGAAGCTCGAACTGGGTGGAGCCCACTGCAGCTCAAGGAGGCCTGCCTGCCTCTGTAGACTCCACCTCTGGGGGCAGGGAATAGCCAAACAAAAGGCAGCAGAATCCTCTGAAGACTTAAATGTCCTTGTTTGACAGCTTTGAAGAGAGTAGTGGTTTTCCCAGGATGCAGCTGGAGATCTGAGAACAGACAGAATGCCTCCACAAGTGGGTCCCTGACCCCTGAGTAGCCTAACTGGGAGGCACCCCCCAGTAGGGGCAGACGGACACCTCACATGGCCAGGTACTCCTCTAACACAAAACTTCCAGAGGAATGCTCAGGCAGCAACATTTGCTACTCACCAGTATCTGCTGTTCTGCAGCCTCTGCTACTGATACCTAGGCAAACAGGGTCTGCAGTGGACCACCAGCAAACTCCAACATACCTGCAGCTGAGGGTCCTGTCTGTTAGAAGGAAAACTAACAAACAGAAAGGACATCCACATAAAAAACCCATCTGTACGTCACCATCATCAAAGACCAAAGGTAGATAAAACCACAAAGATGGGGAAAAAACAGAGCAGAAAAACTGGAAACTAAGAATCAGAACACCTCTCCTCCTCCAAAGGAATGCAGCTCCTCATCAGCAACAGAACAAAGCTGGACGGAGAACAACTATGACGAATTGAGAGAAGGCTTCAGATGAACAAACTACTCCGAGCTAAAGGAGGAAGATTGAACCAAAGGCAAAGAAGTAAAAAACCTTGGAAAAAAATTAGACTAATGGCTAACTAGAATAACCAATGCAGAGAAGTCCTTAAAGGATGTGGTGGAGCTGAAAACCAAGGCAAAAGAACTACGTGATGAATGCACAAGCCTCAGTAGCCGATTGGATCAACTGGAAGAAAGGGTATCAATGATGGAAGATAAAATGAATGAAATGAAGTGAGAAGAGAAGTTTAGAGAAAAAAGAATAAAAAGAAATGAACAAAGCCTCCAAGAAATATGGGACTATGTGAAAAGACCAAATCTACGTCTGATTGGTGTATCTGAAAGTGACAGGGAGAATGGAACCAAGTTGGAAAACACTCTGCAGGAAATTATCCAGGAGAACTTCCCCAATCTATCAAGGCAGGCCAACATTCAAATGCAGGAAATACAGAGAATACCACAGAGATATTCCTCAAGAAGAGCAACTCCAAGACATGTAATTATCAGATTCACCAAAGTTGAAATGGAGGAAAAAATGTTAAGGGCAGCCAGAGAGAAAGGTCGGGTTACCCACAAAGGGAAGCCCATCAGACTAAGAGCTGATCTCTTGGCAGAAACCCTACAAGCCAGAAGAGAGTGGGGACCAATATTCAACATTCTTAAAGAAAAGAATTTTCAACCCAGAATTTCATATCCAGCCAAAATAAGCTTCATAAGTGAAGGAGAAATAAAATCCTTTACAGACAAGCAAATGCTGAGAGATTTTGTCACTACCAGGCCCGCCCTAAAAGAGCTCCTAAAGGAAGTACTAAACATGGAAAGGAACAACCAGTACCAGCCACTGCAAGAACATGCCAAATTGTAAAGACCATCAAGGCTAGGAAGAAACTGCATGAACTAATGAGCAAAATAACCAGCTAACATCATAATGACAGGATGAAATTCACACATAACAATATTAACCTTAAATGTAAATGGGCTAGATGCTCCTATTAAAAGACACAGGCTGGCAAATTAGATAAAGAGTCAAGACCCATCAGTCTGCTGTATTCAGGAAACCCATCTCACATGTAGAGACACACATAGGCTCAAAATAAAGGGATGGAAGAAGATCTACCAAGCAAATGGAAATCTAAAAAAGGCAGGTGTTGCAATCCTAGTCTCTGATAAAACAGACTTTAAACCAACAAATATCAAAAGAGACAAAGAAGGCCATTACATAATGGCAAAGGAATCAATTCAACAAGAAGAGGTAACTATCTAAATATATATGCACCCAATACAGGAGCACCCAGATTCATAAAGCAAGTCCTTAGAGACCTAGAAAGAGACTTAGACTCTGACACAATATTAATGGGAGACTATAACACCCCACTGTCAACATTAGACAGATCCACGAAACAGAAAGTTAACAAGGAAATCCAGGAATTGAACTCAGCTCTGCACCAAGTGGACCTAGTAGACATCTACAGAACTCTTCACCGCAAATCAACAGAATAGACATTCTTCTCAGCACCACATCGCACTTATTCCAAAATTGACCACATGGTTGGAAGTAAAGCACTCCTCAGCAAATGTGAAAGAACAGAAATTATAACAAACTGTCTCTCAGACCATAGTGGAATCAAACTAGAACTCAGGATTAAGAAACTCACTCAAAACCACTCAAGTACATGGAAACTGAACAACCTGCTCCTGAATGACTACTGGATACATAATGAAATGAAGGCAGAAATAAAGATGTTCTTTGACACCAACGAGAACAAAGATACAACATACCAGAATCTCTGGGACATATTTAAATGTGGGGGACACATTTAAAGCAGTGTGTAGAGGAAAATTTATAGCACTAAAGGCCCACAAGAGAAAGCAGGAAAGATAAAAAATTGACACCCTAACATCACAATTAAAAGAACTAGAGGAGCAAGAGCAAACACATTCAAAAGCTAGCAGAAGGCAAGAAATAAGTAAGATCAGAGCAGAACTGAAGGAAATAGCAACACAAAAACCCTTCAAAAAATCAATGAATCCAGGAGCTGGTTTTTTGAAAAGATCAACAAAATCGATAGACCACCAGCATGACTAATAAAGAAGAAGAGAGAGAAGAATCAAATAGATGCAATAAAAAATGATAAAAGGGATATCACCACCAATCCCACAGAAATACAAACTACCGTCAGAGAATACTATAAACACCTCTATGCAAATAAACTAGAAAATCTAGAAGAAATGGATAAATTCCTGGACGCATACACCCTCCCAAGACTAAACCAGGAAGAAGTTGAATCTCTGAATAGACCAATAACAGGCTCTGAAATTGAGGCAATAATTAATAGCTTACCAACCAAAAAACATCCAGGACCAGTTGGATTCACAGCCAAATTCTACCAGAAGTACAAGGAGGAGCTGGTATCATTCCTTCTGAAATGATTCCAATCAATAGAAAAAGAGGGAATCCTCCCTAACTCATTTTATGATGCCAGCATCATCCTGATACCAAAGCCTAGCAGAGACACAACAAAAAAAGAGAATTTTAGACCAATATCCCTGATGAAGATCGATGTAATAATCCTCAATAAAATACTGGCAAACTGAATTCAGCAGCACATAAGCTGAATCCAGCTTATCCAGCATGATCAAGTGGGCTTCATCCCTCAGATGCAAGGCTGGCTCAACATACCCAAATCAATAAACGTACTCCAGCATATAAACAGAACCAATGACAAAAACCACATGATTATCTCAATAGATGCAGAAAAGGCCTTTGACAAAATTCAACAACACTTCATGCTAAAAACTCTCAATAAATTAAGTATTGATGGGACGTATCTCAAAATAATAAGAGCTATCTATAAAAAACCCACAGCCAATATCATACTGAATGGGCAAAAACTGGAAGCATTCCCTTTGAAAACTGGCACAAGACAGGGATGCCCTCTCTCTCCACTCCTATTCAACAGAGTGTTGGAAATTCTGGCCAGGGCAATCAGGAAGGAGAAGGAAATAAATGGTATTCAATTAGGAAAAGAGGAAGTCAAATTGTTCCTGTTTGCAGATGACATGATTGTATATCTAGAAAACCCCATCATCACAGCCCAAAATCTCCTTAAGCTGATAGGCAATTTCAGCAAAGTCTCAAGATACAAAATCAATGTGCAAAAATCACAAGCATTCTTATACACCAATAACAGACAGAGAGCCAAATCATGAGTGAACTCCCATTCACAATTGCTTCAAAGAGAATAAAATACCAAGGAATCCAACTTACAAGGGACGTGAAGGACCTCTTCAAGGAGAACCACAAATCACTGCTCAATGAAGTAAAAGAGGATAGAAACAACTGGAAGATCATTCCATGCTCATGGGTAGGAAGAATCAATATCATGAAAATGGCCATACTGCCTAAGGTAATTTATAGGTTCAATGCCATCCCCATCAAGCTACCAATGACTTTCTTCACAGAATTGGAGAAAAACTACTTTAAAGTTCATATGGAACCAAAAAAGAGCCCACATTGCCAAGTCAATCCTAAGCCAAAAGAACAAAGCTGGAGACATCACGCTACCTGACTTCAAACTATACTACAAGGCTACAGTAACCAAAACAGCATGGTACTGGTAACAAAACAGAGATATAGACCAATGGAACAGAATAGAGACCGCAGAAATAATGCTGCATATCTACAACCATCTGAACTTTGACAAACCTGACAAAAACAAGAAATGGGGAAAGGATTCCCTATTTAATAAATGGTGCTGGGAAAACTGGCTAGCCATATGTAGAAAGCTGAAACTGGATCCCTTCCTTACACCTTATACAAAAATTAATTTAAGATGGATTAAAGACTTACATGTTAGATTTAAAACCATAAAAACCCTAGAAGAAAACCTAGGCAATACCATTCAGGACATAGGCATAGGCAAGGACTTCATGTCTAAATCACCAAAAGCAATAGCAACCAAAGCCAAAATTGACAAATGGGATCTAATTAAACTAAAGAGCTTCTGCACAGCAAACGAAACTACCATCAGAGTGAATAGGCAACCTGCAGAATGGGAGAAAATTTTTGCAATCTACCCATCTGACAAAGGGCTAATATCCAGAATCTACAATGAACTCAAACAAATTTACAAGAAAAAAACCAACAACCCCATCAAAAAGTGGGTGAAGGATAGGAACAGACACTCCTCAAAAGAAGACATTTATGCAGCCCAAAGACACATGAAAAAATGCTCACCATCACTGGCCATCAGAGAAATGCAATACAAAACCACAGTGAAATACCTTCTCACACCAGTTAGAGTGGCAATCATTAAAAAGTCAGGAAACAACCGGTGCTGGAGAGGATGTGGAGAAATGGGAACACTTTTACACTGTTGGTGGGACTGTAAACTAGTTCAACCATTGTGGAAGTCAGTGTGGTGACTCCTCAGGGATCTAGAACTAGAAATATCATTTGATCCAGCAATCTCATTACTGGGTATATACCCAAAGGATTATAAATCATGCTGCTATAAAGACACATGCACACGTATGTTTATTGCGGCATTATTCACAATAGCAAAGGCTTGGAACCAACCCAAATGTCCAACCACGATAGACTGGATTAAGAAAATGTGGCACATATACACCATGGAATACTATGCAGCCATAAAAAATGATGAGTTCATGTCGTTTGTAGGGACATGGATGAAGCTGGAAACCATCATTCTCAGCAAACTATCCAAGGACAAAAAACCAAACAACGCATGTTCTCACTCATAGGTGGGAATTGAAAAATGAGACCACATGGACACAGGAAGGGGAACATCACACTCTGGGGTCTGTTGTGGGGTTGGGGGAGGGGGGAGGGATAGCATTAGGAGATATACCTAATGTTAAATGAGGAGTTACTTTGTGCAGCACACCAGCATGGCACATGTATACATATGTAACTAACCTACACGTTGTGAACAAGTACCCTAAAACTTAAAGTATAATAAAAAAAGAAAAAAAAAACCAAAATGCCTTTACGTTGTATCAGTCCAGTAGAGTTATCAACCCAAACAATCCCCTCATTAGCAGTTACAGTATTATAGTACTTCTACAACGTCCATGATTTTTCACTTCTTTTTTTAAAAAAAACCTCAAGTTCCCCACCCGTGATGATTTTCTTAGACTCAGCTCTCTGTGGTCTCATAATAGGAATTTGGTGAAGAAAGAGCTTCATGTGCAAATAAGATGGGGAAATCTAGATTCAGTAAACTATTTTTTTAATGAGTACTTTCTCATTATGCACATTATGTGAGTTTTAGGAACATAATTGAGGAAGCGTTAGTGTTGGAAAATGAGCGCTAGTCTTAGAGGAAATAGTTCTCTCCTCTCTTCCCTAGCACGTATCATGCTGCAGCTTGGGCATAACCATGAATGGTTCTGAAGCCTCAGTTTCTGAATCTTCAGAATGGGGCCATAATATAATTGTGTATAAAGGCAGGGGATTTAACAAGGTGTTTGACTGACTTTCTGCTCAAGCCTAAGGTGCATTCATCTCTAAACCTTTCTTCCTCTGATCCTTCAGCCTCCCACTCAGCCCTTGTGGAAAATATTTGATAGAAAAAACTGAGATGCCACAGCAGCTGTGGACAGTAATGCTTGAAACAAAACCTTTGTTGATTTAGTTGCATTTCTGTAAACCCCGGATGGGATGCTGTTGGAAGCCCAGTAGTAATTGTACATCTGGACTTCCCACGGCCTGCTCCAACAGGCAGTCACTGGCAGAACCACGTGCTCCATTGACACAGACCATGTTTCCCATCACAGCTTATCTGAGCAGTGTTGAATGGTCCAAAGTTATTATTTACAGCTCAGTGAGGATAGGGCAGAGAATCAGAAACTATGGATGAGATCCATGCTGCAAATGCTACTCATGGAGGATGACAGCATCTGAGATGCCTAAGGAGCAGAGAAAGGGATTCTTAGCAACTCCTGATGTCTCAGAGAGCCACACAAGCTATGCTTCCCACCCTCCAGAAGGCTCCTCTGCTGATTGCAGCCAACATTGATTCCTTCCCTTCCTCGCCGACCCTATTCCATATTAGGGTGACCAGCTCATCCCAGGTTGCCTGGGACTTTCCTGGTTTTCATACTGAAAGTCCAGTGTCCCGAGAAACTCCTCAATACCTGGTAAGCAGAGCTAGTGGGTCACCTTACCCATACTGTCTAGACGAAGCATTTTTGTCATTGACTATATCTGGTTACAAGTGTAGCCACACTAACATCAAACACTTACTGGGTGTCTAGTGAGTACACTGTGCTCAACTTAGAGCACACACTGCCCTCATCTGATTTTTTTCTCTATTTTCCACAATGTGTTACAAAATGCTTTTTATATACCTAGCATTCAGATCTTGTTTTCTATGTGCCATTGTCCAAAAAACAAAAACAAAAACAAAAACAAAACAAACCCAGTGCTTCTTGGGAAAATGGTTGATTCCAGGACTGGGGCAAGAAAAGTAATAATATGAGCCCGGAACATTTTATGATGGCAGAAAGTAAGGCAATGTTCAAGAAAATGTAGAATGAGAGAGCACCTCAACAGAGTACAAAAGGCTAGGCGCACTGCCTGTAATGCCAGCACTTTGGGAGGTTGAGGCAAGAGGATCACTTGAAGCCAGGAATTCAAGACCAGCCTGGGAAACATAGGGAGACCCTGTCTGTATGAAAACTTTAAAAAATTAGTCAAGAATGGTGGCATGCATCTGTAGTCCCAGCTACTCCAGAGGCTAAGGTGGGAGCATCACTTGAGCCCAGGAGTTAGAGGCTGCATGAGCTAACATTGTGCCACTGCACTCAAGCCTGGGCAACAAAATGAGACTCTGCTTCTTAAAAAAAAAGTAAAATAAATAAAATAAAAATTGCTGATTAAGGCCTGGCACAGTGGTTTACTCCTGTGATCTGAGCACTTTGGGAAGCTGAGGTGGGTGGATCACTTGAGGTCAGGAGTTTGAGACCAGGCTGGACAACATGGTGAAACCCTCTCTCTACCCAAAATACAAAAAAAAAAATTTTCCCATTACCACAGGGGAAAAAAAAGCACAGAAGACAACTTTAAGAAGAAGCCCCTAATGAGGCTGGGCATGGTGGCTGATGCCTGTAATCCTAGCACTTTGGGAGGCCAAGGTAGGTGGATCACCTGAGGTCAGGAGTTCAAGACCAGCCTAGTCAACATGGAGAAACCCCGTCTCTACTAAAAATAGAAAAATTAGCCAGGCTCAGTGGCAGGTGCCTTTAATCCCAGCTACTCAGGAGGCTGAGGCAAGAGAATCACTTGAACCTATGAGGCAGAGGTTGCAGTGAGCTGAGATCGCACCACTGCACTCCAGCCTGGGTGACAGAGCGAGACTGTCTGAAAAAACAGACAAACAAACAAACAACAACAACAAAAAGAAACAAAGAAAACTATTGAACTAGTCATCTTAATATTTTAAAAAATGCTTATTTATATTTTATCATGCTTTTAAAAAATGCTTTTGGATACTTTGTTGCTATCCTATTTTGATTACATATAGGAATGGAGCCATAAACTTCTCACTGCCTCATCATTCGAAGGATATTCCTTTACCTCAGGTTTCCTCTTCTCTCTCTAGTCTATATCTGGGAGAGGTACACATATACTCAACCATTTTATTACATTGGGCATACCCAAACATTTTAATATATTTGTGCTGATATACGTAGGAGCTAGCTTTTGACTTATAGCAAATTTTTCCCTTGAAATAATTTAAGGCCATAAGTATCTATGTCTGTTGTGTTGGTTTATTTTTTATCTGTGTCCTTTCAGCCATTTTTCTATATTGTTCTATGTATTATCAAGTTCACAGACCCTGAGGACTTTTGGGCTTTTCTGGCATGTTGTTTGAAAAAAAAAACAAAAAAACAACAAAAACACGACTCAAAAAAAGTAGAAAATTGGCCAGGTGCAGTGGCTCATGCCTGTAATCCCAGCACTTTGGGAGGTCGAGGAGTGTGGATCACGAGGACAAGAGATTGAGACCATCCTGTCTAACACAGTGAAACCCTGTCTCTACTAAAAACACAAAAAATTAGCCAGGCGCAGTGGTGGGCGCCTGTAGTCCCAGTTACTCTGGAGGCTGAGGCAGGAGAATGGCCTGAATCTGGTAGGCGGAGCTTGCAGTGAGCCGAGATTGTGCCACTGCACTCCAGCCTGGGTGACAGAGCAAGACTCTGTCTCAAAAAAAAAAAAAAAGTAGAAAATTAATTACAAATGCATTGGTGGTAAATTTTTAAAATATAATGAGACTCACAGGTTTTCCAATATCTGATATTGTCTTTACAGTATGAAATTGATGTACAGCAAAGCACACCAGGTACATGCTCATGGGGACAGACTTCTTGAAAGTTGTTTGATTCCATTTATCATCCACTGACTCTTCTTTCTATTGAAAAGATCAACTTTTATCTATCAAAAGATCAATCATATACATGCAAGACAAACAAATAAACGATTGCCCCAAACCTTGCTTTCTAGTCAGAAGTCCTTTGTCAAAGCTTAGAGGTCACATTGTTTGTGGTGATGTTGAAAAGACTACAGGAAAATTAACTTTGTTTTTAGAACTGTGAAAAACTGACTGAATTACACACTGTATTAGGTTTTTCAGGGAGAAATAAAATTTTGACTGGACTATCAGTTGAATAGGAGTTTATCTGTCTACAGTAAACACATCATGCTGACTATAATATTTGAGAATACTGCGATCTCCTAATGAAAAACAGGCTCGTGCTCAAGTATTTTCTGATTCGACTGTGCAGAGGGCAATTGCTGTACCCGGTGTCGTGGAACATTGGCTTCTCTTTTCCATCTTTCATTGTCTACATCAAAGACTAAAGGTATGGCCACCAAAGTCCGTGCCTCGGTCTCCATGGACAGAGAGACGAATTCTATTGCTTGACACAACTACTGACCTATCTGGCTTGTTTTGTCCATGTCTGCTCTGCTGTCCTCACTGTCGATCACCTATCCTAAGACTTCTACCATGAATACTTGCCCAATTCCTGCTTCCATTACTTAATCATTGCCACATCTCCTGCAGTCACTCTATTTGAGATGGCTTCAAAAGAGATTAAGTGAGGGAGGCTGGACTAGAATGGGTGCTGCTGATGCTTCAAGCATGTGTGTGCGTGCCGGTGTATAATTGTGGTGGGGCTCCAGGCTACATTACTCTACCATAAAAACCTAGTAGTGTTAGTTTTGATCTCCTAAGAACCCAGAATATTCCCCTTCTTCCAGGACTACTATCTGGATCTAGTAGAAGGTGAAGTGTAACTCTGCACAGTGAAACGGCCATAAGGGAAGATCTTAAACAGAAGTGGGTGAATTTGCCATTTTTCCCCCCACCTTCATCTAGATTGGTGTGTCATACTTTAAGTTTATCCTTTCCTCTTTCTTCTCCAATCAAACCTTAGAAGAAAACACATTGATAATTAATTCTCATTGAGGCAGGGATGGCTGCTAAGAGTACATTTTAATCCTCTGAAGCTTTTATTTGCTTTATTTTGTTGTTGCTTTTTCAAGGAATACTTTATCATTTAAAAAGACAAATTTTAATGATAATATTTCAAATAGTGGATCAGAAAGATGGGAGACATAATTTGGGGCTGGTGTCCTTCTCATTATTATACCTAAAGATGAGCCTGACCCTTTTACATGTCAAATTTATAAAGTATGTAAACCTCAACTTTGAGGTACCCTAGGTAACAACATTATCCATTATGGAGATAAGAGGCAATAGCAGAAAAAAGTGTTTTATGTTAATGAATAATTAATACAGGCAGAAATTATCAGCCTGTTATTTTTTCTCTTTTTTAAATTTAATTAAATTAATTTATTTGTTTATTATACTGGGATACAGGTGCAGAACGTGCATGTTTGTTGCATAGGTATACACATGACATGGAGGTTTGCTGCACCCATCAACCCGTCATCTATATTAGGTATTTCTCCTAAAGCTACCCCTCCTCTAGCCCCCCAGCCCTTGATAGGACTTGGTGTGTGATGTTCCCCTCCCTGTGTCCATGTGTTCTTATTGTTCAACTCCCACTTATGAGTGAGAACATGCAGTGTTTGGTTTTCTATTCCTGTGTTAGTTTGCTGAGAATGATGGTTTCCAGCTTCATTCATGTCCTTGCAAAGGACATGAACTCATCCTTTTTTACAGCCTGTTATTTTTTTCTCCAGACATTTAATAAGCACTTCCTATCACCAAAGGAGTCTATGGGCAGAGTATTTCCTGGAGTTTGCTTCCACAACCCAGTATTTAAGTGATTTTTTTATAGTAGCTTTATCTTTAAAAAGAAAAAAACTGGGTTTATAGTCACCTGAAAACTAAGTACTGAGTAGCCCTCAAATATTTTCAAGTCTGTAATTCCATTAGTTTGCCATTACTGTAATTTATCATGACTCACTCAGGGATTCTGGCAGCTAAGCAGAGCTCAAGCTGATGTATGTGTCTATGGCATTGTCTCTTGTGTAGAAACACCAATGTGGCTTTCTTACTGGACTGTGATATCTTAAAAACTTCCAGGACTCAAAGAAAAAGATTGCCAAAATGTATTTCACTCGGCTAAATAAACTATTAGTGCACATTTAGTTTTAGAATTCAATGGGTTTTCTTTCACCAAAAATCAGGTAATTGACCTAATGTTGTCAACAGACTCTCTGCATAAACAAAACATTTAAAAAATACTTACTGCCACTGGCATATGTGAAAGTGCTTCATATTCTTTGGGATGGGTGACAGATATTGTATAAGTTGCCTTTTTGTTGGGCTTATCAAAACAAGGAAAGAATTTCCTGGCATCTGTTGGTTCATGATCAGTGGCCGCTATGCTCCTTAGAAACAAACACACAAACAAAATGCATGCTGCCTCTTCTGACAACCCCTATGTCTCTATTCCTAGGGAAAAATAAATCAGCTATGCAATTATAACTATTACAGTTCTAAAAATGAGGTACCATCTAGAAAATGATCAAATATTTGTCAAAGGTTTTCCTGGAATTTTTAGGTTAACAAATTTTTAAAAAATCCTGAGACAGATTGCTTCAGATATTTCATTCACATATTTATTTGTCAAAAACCGCAGTTACTTTTGCACCAACCTAACAGCTATTTTGGTGCCACAACTAAAAATCTGTGGAGAAGCAAAAATAAATCCAATTATGAGCTAGTACTCTCTCCACCCCAAAGCCATTGAGCAACAAGTAGATAAACACAAAGCCAAACTCAAAAGCTTGTGTCTAACTGCCCTTATGGGAAGTGAACAGCTGTCTTCTGTCACAGAGTGATGTTTATTCCAGAGTCCCCAGTCCCTGTCCCTAATGACACATTCTTTGTTATTTATGTTACACCAGGGACAAAACCCTAGTTTCATTTCCATGTAAAGGCAGTGCTGAGTAATCTCTTAGATGAAGTAACCTTTGTCTTAGTTTAAAGCTCACTCTTAAAAAGAGAAAACAGCATTTTATTTTTATGGCTCTAACTAGGCTTATACTTGTGTAAACTAAAATGTTAATGTTTAGTATTTTCATAATTTCAAGGTGAAAATATTATTTTCTGAGTAATTGCTCAAAAAAACAATAAACATACACTTTTTACATGTAAATGTATTACAGTAAGAGAATATTATATATTTGCTTATTAGAAAATGAAGCAAAGTAAAAAGTATAAAAAAGAAATGGTAATTTCTATTCATTAATAATTTGTGTAAGGAAAAATTTTGTCTTTCAGGATTCTTGAAACTAAGGAAGACATATCATAAACAATATCAGGCTAAGTTATTACATCATCCATTCATCCAAGAAATATTAATTGATCCCCTTCCACACACGCACATGCACACACAAGCACCTATGCATGCATGCACACATGTGCAGACATTTGTCTAGCTGCTGTATGAAACTGCCTTTGCAAAATTATAACAGAGGAAATTATGAGAGTGAAAAAAGTCAGACCTAACCGACTCCATCTTGCTTTTAACCTTCAAGCTGTACTTGTTCAGTCCTGAGCACAGGCTGAACTAATTTTGGGAAGGAATTTGGTTCATGGTTTCACTCTGAAACTAAATTGATAATAGCCCTTTCCTGAAAAGACCTCCTTCTTCCCTAGGGACCAGTCTGCCTTTGCAGAACTAACAAATTAGGTACAAGATTAGAAATTACAGTTTAGGGGTCATGCAGCCTCTGGCTGTAAGAGTCTCAACCTCCTCAAATTCCTCATGGGGATAACATTACTGCTGTAAAACCTAAGATTAGCCCTTGAGATATTTTGCAGACTCCGTACTTGATGGATCAGCTAACACCACCCAGGCCAGTAATCTGGCTCAACCAGTTCTGCCATGCCACCCAGGAAGAGAAAACAGCAAGAAAAACTCACTTTGACCCTCTATGACTCCATCTCCAACTTGACCAGTCAGCAGTCCCCACTTCCCAAGCCCCTACCTGCCAAATTATCTTAAAAACTCTGATCCCCAAATACTGGGGGAGACAAAGTTGAGTAATAATAAAATTCTGGTCTCCTGCACAGCTGGCTCTGTGTGAATTACTCCTTCTCCATTTCAATTCCCCCCATCTTGATAAATCGGCTCTGTCTAGGCAGTGGGCAAGGTGAACCCATTGGGCAGTTACATGTATAGATAAGATTCCGTACTGCTTACAGGGTGTTAGACAAGAGACACACAAATAAATAATTTAGGACAGTGATGATAGCTATATAGAAAATAAAACATTGGAAGAGATAGAGAATGACTAGGAAAAGTGGTAAGCAACATTAAGTAGAGTAGTCACAATCTCTTGGTTTGCCGAGATCTGAATAATGAGAAAAAGCCAGGCAAGTGGAGATTCAGGAAAATATGTTCAAGCAGAAGGAACCATAAGTGCAAAGTCCCTAAGATGAAAAAGAACCTGATGTGGTTGAAGAATTGAAAGGTGTCCAGTGTGGCTAAAGAACACTGAACCAGAGGGACTGGAGCCAGAGATGAGTTTGACATGAGGTCGGCAGAGGCCAGATCAGGAAAATATCAGCAATCATGAGAAGAGCATGCATTTTATTTTGGTTCAAGGATTTATTACAGTCAAAGATTTGACTGCCGTTGGCCAAATATGGGAGTATTGGAACATCAAAATAAACAATGGGATTACAACTCATTGAATAAATTAATAATCTTTGAGTCCTTACTCTGATTTTTTAAATGAAGAAATAAATGGGTGAGAAGGGAAATTTCTTCCTTCCAGTAGATTGTCTACTAATAATATTTGAAGAAAAAATTGATATTTAAAAAATCATCAGTGGATGCCAAAACAAGGGGATGAAACTTTGGTAAGGAAGGGATATTTGCAAGGTTTCAAAAACAACTCCCTGAAAGTTACCTAAAGAGAAACATCGTAACTTTACAATGGAGACACTTGTTGGACACTACCTTAAGCAAGCTATCAAAGCAAGCATCACTAACAATAGTTCAAATCAGCACAGTGTGTCTCTAATGTGATTTCCTGAGAGAGACACATCACTTCTGTGATAGTCCTGACAGCAACAACAACAACAACAAAAAGCTTAACTTGCATTTTTAAATCATGAGGAAAATCAGACAAATTAAAACTGAGGGACATTCTCAAAATAGCTTGCCTGTATTCTTCAAAAAATATTAACTTTAGAAAGACGAAGAAGGACTAAAGGACTGGTTTCAGTTTAAAAGAGTCTAAAAGTGCATGACGCTAAATTCCAGACTGGGTACTGGACTGGGAAAAAAAAATCATTCAAAAAGACATCATTAGGTTAGTTGATAAAATTCTGTTACAGACTGTGAATTGGATAATTGTATCAATGTTAAATTTCATGATTTTGATGACCGTACTATGGTTATTTTAGAGAATGACCCCATACTTAAGAAATATGCTCTTATGTTAACGGGTAAAGGGAGAGGATGTTTCCATGTGCTCTGGAAAGGAAGGGGAAGGGGTACAGGCTAAAATGTAAACAACTGGTTTATCTAGTTTAAGTATTTCTAGGAATTCCTAGTGTGTCTGGAATTGGTGGGTTCTTGGTCTCACTTACATCAAGAATGAAGCCGGTGACACTTGCGGTGAGTGTTACAGCTCTTAAGGTGGCGCCTCTGGAGTTTGTTCCTTCTGATGTTCGGATGTGTTCGGAGTTTCTTCCTTCCGGTGGGTTCGTGGTCTCCCTGGCTCAGGAGTGAAGCTGCAGACCTTCATGGTGAGTGTTACAGCTCTTAAGGAGGCGCGTCTGGAGTTGTTCTTCCTCCCAGTGGGCTCCTGGTCTCGCTGGCTTAAGGAGTGAAGCTGCAAACCTTCGCGGTAAGTGTTACAGCTCGTAAAAGCAGTGTGGACCCAAAGAGTGAGCAGCAGCAAGATTTATTGCAAAGAGCAAAAAAGAACAAAGCTTCCACAGTGTGGAAGGGGATGCCAGCGGCTTGGCACTGCTGGCTGGGGCAGTCTGCTTTTATTCTCTTATCTGGCCCCACCCACATCCTGCTGATTGGTACAGCCCAGTGGTCTGTTTTGACAGGGTGCTGATTGGTGCGTTTACAATCCCTGAGCTAGACACAAAGGTTCTCCAAGTCCCCACTAGATTAGCTAGATACAGAGTGTCTCCAAGTCCCCACCAGAGTAGCCAGATACAGTGTCGATTGGTGCATTCACAAACCCTGAGCTACACACAGGGTGCTGATTGGTGTGTTTACAAACCTTGAGCTAGATACAGAGTGCCAATTGGTGTATTTACAATCCCTGAGCTAGACATAAAGGTTCTCCAAGGCCCCACCAGAGTAGCTAGATACAGAGTGTCCATTGGTGCATTCACAAACCCTGAGCTAGACACAGGATGCTGATTGGTGTGTTTACAAACCTTGAGCTAGATACAGAATGCCGATTGGTGTATTTACAATCCCTGAGCTAGACATAAAGGTTCTCCACATCCTCACCAGACTCAGGAGCCCAGCTGGCTTCACCCAGTGGATCCCGCCCTGGGGCTGCAGGTGGAGCTGCCTGCCAGTCCAGCGCAGTGTGCCCGCACTCCTCAGCCCTTGGGTGGTCGATGGGACTGGGTGCCATGGAGCAGGGTGCAGCGCTCGTTGGGGAGGCTTGGGCCCCACAGGAGCCCACGGAGTGGGTGGGGAGGCTTAGGCATGGTGGGCTGCAGGTCCGGAGCCCTGCCCCGTGGGAAGGCAGCTAAGGCCCGGCGAGAAATCAAGTGCAGTGCCAGTGGGCCGGCACTGCTGGTGGACCCTGTACACCCTCTGCAGCCGCTGGCCTGGGTGCTAAGCCCCTCATTGCCCAGGGCCGGCAGGGCCGGCTGGCTGCTCCGAGTGTGGGGCCCACCAAGCCCATGCCCACCCGGAACTCCAGCTGGCCCGCAAGCGTGGCACGCAGCCCCGGTTCCCGCTTGCTCCTCTCCCTACACACCTCCCTGCAAGCTGAGGGAGCCGGCTCCGGCCTTGGCCAGCCCAGAAAGGGGCTCCCACAGTACAGCGGTGGGCTGAAGGGCTCCTCATGTGCCTCCAAAGTGGGAGCCCAGGCAGAGGAGGTGTGGAGAGCCAGCGAGGGCTGTGAGGACTGCCAGCACGCTGTCACCTCTCACTAGTACCATTCTTATAACTCTCCTATGAGTTTGAAATTATGTCACAATAAAGTTACCCAAGAAAAGCCTCAGTTAAGAATTCATTCTGCAGTAGAACATTCACTGATTAGTTTTGTGACATTAACACTTTAGTCAATTGAAGCTTCTAAACATCTTGCAGATTGTAGTTAATGGTAAATATATCAGACTCTAAAAAAGTCTGTACACTTTCCCAGAGTATGAAAGTTTTATAATAAGTTCCATCAAGCTCCAACCCCATGTTTAGTCAGCTGCCTTTTTCTTCTGAATTCTTCTGGCTTCTGATGTTTTCCAGAGGCAGAGGAAAAGGAAAAGTCACTCACCAGAAGAAGGTCTCAGCTGAGTCACAACTCAGAAATAGGCCAGCTAACTAATTTGAGAAGATGAGTGCGCATGCATGCGCACCACACACATCTTCATGTGTGGGAGGTGTGAGGAAGGAGGGAGTGGAATCACACTTTCCTAAGCTATAGCCATGAGAATGTTTTCAAATATTCTATTTTACTCTTGGCTGGATGCTAGAAAATACATATATGTATAAAATCCTAAGAACCCAGGAAAGAAAAGATTTTTCAATCCTTTTCTCACCTTCTCTCTTTAAAAGACATTCTGCTTGATTGTAGGCAAAAACTACCTTCCTAAATTAGTGTATTCCTGAGCTTGCCAATGGACATGGAACAGAACAGTGTGGGAGATTTCTCCGTGGAGTGTGTTTGGTCCAGCTCTGTGGTCCTCTCAGCAAATGTCAATCACAGCAAGTCTAACTCAATCACAGTGACCCAGATATAGATACAGTGATATTCATCAATCAGAAGAGCTATATAATGTTTATTTTCTTTTTCTTTTTTTAAAGTTCAGAACCAATATGATTTTATGGGGAAAACCCTTTCCTAAGAGCAAAAATTCTTACATCCTAATCCTACTTCAGCCACTTAAGTGTGATCTTGACCAAGTCACAAAACCTAAGACTTTTAGTGTCCTCATCTGTAAAACCTGGTCACGAGAGCATGCATGGCTTCTTCACAGCATTATGGGGAAGTGAGCAGGGGTAGATTACATGTAGTAATACATTTGAAACCTCCTTAAAATTTACATAATCCAGTTAGGATATACATCATTCTACATCTTATAAATCTAGAATGCTAACTGTGCTTTCTGGCATAGCACTTTCACAATCTGAAATATTTCAAATTCTTTCATTTGACTGCAACATATACTGGAACAAAATTACTTGGTGTATATACACTATGGGCAATATAAGCATTTTTAAAATGGTAGCCTGTTCTTTTTCTCATGAACTTCAGAATAACTCAAAAGCTGCTTTTATATATCCTGAATTCCATCAGTCGGCCCTAAACTTTCTAAGTGTATGCAAAGTTGAAAATAAGGAGTAAGAGATAACAATACAAAACAATTCTAGATCACAACTTCTTTGGGAAGGTTTTATTCAGTGATTAAAATCAGATGACTTGCATTGCAAATTAAGAGAAAAAGGCTGACTAATAGTACCACATGTTCAGGAGTGACTCGTGGGTATGTCCTGAATAATTATCACACCAGGCAAATGTGTTGGAGTAAACCACTTTCCCACAAGGGCCTCCCTATGCCACATTAATAGGTCACTTACTAGACTTAGCACAATAAAATGATAGTCTATGCAATTTAGTCATTTCCAAAAGGGAAGAGCATTTCTCTGGCACCTGAGTGGATCAGATCAAGGTGACTTTAGAGAAAACTGAAGGAGAAGGGGCGATGGCACAAGCTATGGTTTGGATCACTCTGAATCGACTCAAAAAAAAAAAAAGGTACCTAATTATCTCATAAATCTTTTGGTACACTGTTTCCAGTGAAGACTCTGACTGTGTTGAGCAAATAAGTTGAACCAGCAAAATAAACAGCAAGTTTTGGATGAAATCCTTAAATATAGAGCTTCTGATTCAGGACAGGTAGTCACATTTGCTAGGGGTCTATATAGACTAAATGAAGTGTTCCAGAATTACATAGGGGAGATTGGTAAAAAACAACCCCTCTAGATTGTTAAGACCTCTATGTATTTTTATGGTGGTTTGAATGAATCAGTTAGTTATTTAACTTTATTTACCAATTGCGGTTTTTCTTTGTAGAAGATATTCAAGGTCAGGTAAAATTTCTTTTTGTTTCCTTGCTTCCAAAAAAAAAGAAATTTACTTAGCCTCCTGCATCAAGTAAACAAGACCAAAAAGAAAATGTATTCTTTTACTCATTTATTTATTTTTTATTATTATACTTTAAGTTTTAGGGTACATGTGCACATTGTGCAGGTTAGTTACATATGTATACATGTGCCATGCTGGTGCGCTGCACCCACTATCTCGTCATCTAGCATTAGGTATATCTACCAATGGTATCCCTCCCCCCTCCCCCCACCCCACAACAGTCCCCAGAGTGTGATATTCCCCTTCCTGTGTCCATGTGATCTCATTGTTCAATTCCCACCTATGAGTGAGAATATGCGGTGTTTGGTTTTTTGTTCTTGCGATAGTTTACTGAGAATGATGATTTCCAATTTCATCCATGTCCCTAAAAAGGACATGAACTCACCATTTTTATGGCTGCATAGTATTCCATGGTGTATATGTGCCACATTTTCTTAATCCAGTCTATCATTGTTGGACATTTGGGTTGGTTCCAAGTCTTTGCTATTGTGAATAATGCCACAATAAACATAAGTGTGCATGTGTCTTTATAGCAGCATGATTTATAGTCCTTTGGGTATATACCCAGTAATGGGATGGCTGGGTCAAATGGTATTTCTAGTTCTAGATCCCTGAGGAATCGCCACACTGACTTCCACAATGGTTGAACTAGTTTACAGTCCCACCAACAGTGTAAAAGTGTTCCTATTTCTCCACATCCTCTCCAGCACCTGTTGTTTCCTGACTTTTTAATGATTGCCATTCTAACTGGTGTGAGATGGTATCTCATTGTGGTTTTGATTTGCATTTCTCTGATGGCCAGTGATGATGAGCATTTTTTCATGAGTTTTTTAGCTGCATAAATGTCTTCTTTTGAGAAGTGTCTGTTCATGTCCTTTGCCCACTTTTTGATGGGGTTGTTTGATTTTTTCTTGTAAATTTGTTTGAGTTCATTGTAGATTCTGGATATTAGCCCTTTGTCAGATGAGTAGGTTGCAAAATTTTTCTCCCATTTCGTAGGTTGTCTGTTCACTCTGATGGTAGTTTCTTTTGCTGTGCAGAAGCTCCTTAGTTTAATTAGATCCCATTTGTCAATTTTGTCTTTTGTTGCCATTGCTTTTGGTGTTTTAGACATGAAGTACTTGCCCATGCCTATGTCCTGAATGGTAATGCCTAGGTTTTCTTCTAGGGTTTTTATGGTTTTAGGTCTAACGTTTGACAAATCTGAGAAAAACAAGCAATGGGGAAAGGATTCCCTATTTAATAAATGGTGCTGGGAAAACTGGTTAGCCATATGTAGAAAGCTGAAACTGGATCCCTTCCTTACACCTATACAAAAATCAATTAAAGATGGATTAAAGTCTTTTTTTGTTTTTGAAATGGAGTCTCACTCTGTCACCCAGGCTAGAGTGCAGTGGAACAATGTTGCCTCACTGCAACCTCCACCTCCTGGGTTCAAGTGATTCTCCCACCTCTGCCTCCAGAGTAGCTGGGATTACAGGCATGTGCCACTACCCCCAGCTAATTTTTGTATTTTTAGTAGAGATGGGGTTTCACCATGTTGGCCAGGCTGGTCTCGAACTCCTGACCTCAGGTGATCCGCCTGCCTTGGCCACTCAAAGTGCTGGGATTACAGGCATAAGCCACCTTGCCCAACCGAAAATCTATTCTTTATTGACATTTTTATTGACAGTGGGATAATATCTCAGCATACCAATCTAAGAATATAATGAATAAACAGACATACAACAAAAATTTCAAGATCAAAACTACATTTGCTTGAGTATAAATACACATCCATGCACATAAAAATACATTACACACACACACACACACACACAAACACACACACACTCTTAATGATGATTGTCTCACTGATGTCTCCACTCAACTTCTAAATCTTTATTACAAGCTCTAACCTGTGCTTCAGACTTACTTATGCAAGTGCCTACTAGTCATCTCTTCCTAGATGTCTGACAAGCCATCAAAACATCTGACACTGAACTTATGACCCTCCCTTCTAACCTGGCCACTTCCCTCCTATTTCCAATATCAACTGAAGTGAAGGCTAGCTGGTGTATCCTAGATGCATAACATTAACTCACTCTTCCTCATAGTCAATCAGTTGGCAAATCTTTACTTTACCTCCAAACTATTTTCTCCATTGTGCCATCTCTTCTCTATCCTGAAATCACTTTTCCTATCTGATCTTTATCTTCTCTTTCCTGGCTTGTTGCAATAGCTTTCATATACCCAAGTGTATAGTTAACTCTTTCTTTCACCATCTGTATACAAAAAGTCACCAGGTAATTTCTCCTTCATAATGCCTATCATGGCTATTTTTCCTTTTCCTCCATATGGGTTTTCCTCAGTGATACCTAGCTAGCCTTTTCATATAAACTTCCCCTACAAACTAATTTTCTTGTCCCCACTATGCTTTTCTAACTTGGTGCCTTTCCTTTTTGCCTGCTTTTACTTCCCCATTTGTCTCTGCTGCTGAACTCCCACCATAACATCAAAATTCAGCTTAAATCCTACTAGTGCTACAAAGAACACCTTGGAAGCCCAAACTAGAGATGATCTCTTTAAAATTCCGGTTGTACTTCCGGTCAATTCCACTGTTTCTTTGCCTTTAAACTATGGAGATTGCATTCCTAAATACAAATATATATATATTTATATATGTATTTTTATATATAATATATTAAATATATTATATATATAATTATATATATAATTAATATATTTTATATATATTATATATGTAATATATATTATATGTATATGTATGTATACATATACATATATGTATATGTATATATGTATATATATAATATATATAATACATATTTTATATTATATATAATATATGTAATATATATTTTATATTATATAATATATGTAATATATATTTTATATTACATATATGTAATATATAATATATATAATATATATTTTATATAATATATAATATATGCAATATATTGTATATTATATATAATATATCTAATATATATATTAGATATATTATATATAATATAAAATATATCCTTTATATTATATATTATATATAATATATATTATATATAATATATTTTATATAATATATAATATATAATATATATAATATATATTTTATATTATATATAATATATATAATATATATTTTATATATAATATATATATTATATATATTATTAATATATTATATATTGTAAATTATATATAATATATATTATATATTTTATATATATTATACGTTATATGTAATATATAATATATATTATATATTATACGTTATATGTAATATATGATATACATTATATATTATACGTTATATATAACGTATAATATATGATATATATTATATATAACGTATATAACGTATAATATATATTATATATAACGTGTAATATATGATATATTACATATAACATATATGATATATATGATATATATTATATATAACGTATAATATATGATATATATGATATATATTATATATAACGTATAATATATGATATATATGATATATATTATATAGAACGTATAATATATGATATATATGATATATATTATATAGAACGTATAATATATGATATATGTTATATATAACGTATAATATATGATATATATTATATATAACGTATAATATATGATATATATTATATATAACGTACAATATATGATATATATTATATATAACGTACAATATATGATTTATATTATATATAACGTATAATATATGATATATATTATATATAACGTACAATATATGATATATATTATATATAACGTATAATACATGATATATATTATATATAACGTACAATATGATATATATTATATATAACTTATAATACATGATATATAATATATAACGTATAATACATGATATATATTATATATAACGTATAATACATGATATATATTATATATAACGTATAATACATGATATATATTATATATAATGTATAATATATGATATATTATATATAATGCATAATAATATGTAATATATGAATATATATGATATATTAATATATTAGTAATATATAATATATCAATACTATATATTATATATTATTAATATATAGTATATATTAATATCATATATTACATATCAATACTTTATATTATATATTAATACTATATATTACATATCAATACTTTATATTATATATTAATAATATATATTATATATTAATACTATATATTATGTATTATTAATATATAGTATATATTAATACTATATATTATATATCAATACTATATGTTATATATTAATAAGATATATTATATATCAATACTTTATATTATATATTAATAATATATATTATATATTAATAATATATATTATATATGAATAATATATATTATATATTAGTACTATATATTATATATTAATAATATATTATATATTAATACTATATATTATATAATAATATATTATATATTAATAATATATATTATATAATAATATATTATATATTATTAATATATATTATATATTAATAATATGTTATATATTATGAATATATATTATATATTATTAATATACTATATATTCATAATATATTATATATTAATATATTATGTATTAATAATATATATTATATATTAATACTATATATTATATATTAATAATATATATTATATATTAATACTATATATTATATATTAATAATATATATTATATATTAATACTATTATATATTAATACTATATATTATATATTAATACTATTATATATTAATAATATATATTATATATTAATACTATCTATTATATATTAATACTATTATATATTAATACTATCTATTATGTATTAATACTATCTATTATATATTGATAGTATATATAATTATACATAATATATTTATTATATATTATATATTATATACATTATATATTATATATATTATATAATATATATAGTATATAATATATTTATTATATAATATATGTAATATATAAACTATTATATACAATATATATTATATACAATACATAATAAATATATATTATATGTAAAAATATACTATATATATTATATATAACATATATTTTATATATATACACATACACACACACATACACATATAAACTCTTCCCTTCCACAGGGTAGGGAGAAAAGGAAACTTTCACCCTAAGTGGGATTGTAGAGATGTTATTGGTGGAAGTTAGCCTCGTTTATGGGAAAGGAGCTGTGGTAATGCAATGTGTCCCAGCATTTGCCAGAGGATACTAATCATGTGAGAGCTTATATGAAAATATTTCAATATATTCAATTTAACAATATTTCAGTGCTCACTGTGTGCCAAACAGTAAATGAGAGACATATATCCCTACTCTTAGGAACCCCACAGAAGAATCCATAGTCACAGATACTTGGGAAACTACATAGTGGACATTATCATATAAAAGCCTCTGTAAACCCTGTAATCCCAGCAACTCAGAAAGCTGAGGTGGTTGGATCACTTGAACTCATGAACTCATGAGTTTGAGCCAGGAGTTCTATCCCAGCCTGGACTTCATCTCTTAAAAAAAAAGTCTCTAAAAACTTCCATAATTAAAAAACAAAATCCAAAACAGATCATTTTGTATTTGGTATTATTGCATAAAGTGATTTAGCCACAGAATCTCTCCCCTGCCATTTTTCTGGTAATATCTACTAAGATCCCCACGCAACTAGAATTCTGCAGTACATACTTTGGGAAATGCTAAGTAAGCATAATTCAAATGCTGACAAGGAAAAGCCAAATCTTGGAGAGAAGAAAACATATACTTTGGAGTTTGAGTAGAGGGAAATTCTTTTAGGGAAGGGAACAGCTGGAAATCCTGCATAATACAGTGAGAAAATGGGAAGAAGGAGGGTGTGGTCAGAGAAACATTCCAAAGACTCCAATCCTTCCAAATGATTTTCCTCAGACCCTAACGAATAGACTAGAGTAGGAAGAGGTAGATCAATAAAGGAAAAGTGACTGGATGTTTCTCAAACTTTCTCCTCCCATACCCCACTACAAATCTGTCCCTAGAAAGACAATGTGGAATTCTAAATTGTGTCCCCTTTCTTCCCCATATCTCAATCTTGAGAGAAAGCATCTTTGGTAGCTGTGAAGTTTGTGAAGCTCAAAGTCCTGATTGTATTTACAGAAATTAAGTAATTTTGGTTACTACTGAGTGCAATCCTGTTTCGTTTGCATTGTGGTTGTCACATTAATATCCCTAAATGGTAATACTCAATCTGGAGTTACATTTTACGTTAAGGTCAAAAATATAATTTTGACTCTGTACTACTACGATGACATCTTAAATGATACAAACATCATATATGATGAAGCTCACTCTGTAGTATGAAAGAATGGCTCTGCCCCAGTGAACTCCCTCTGGTGGCTCTTACATAAAGCCTGTGGATCATAACTCCTACAGGCTGCATTGCCAAAATATTACTCACAGGCTTGAAAAAAAAGCATGATGCACTTTTCCCATAATGCTTGAAATATTTCAGACAAGGAAAACATAAAGTATTCCACTTAGCCTAAATGAGGTTATTGAGATGATGCCAGATCTGTTCCAAAACCACATGTGTGCAGTACAGAACTGGTAGCATCTTGTGTAATGTGAGAGCTTAAACTGCTCCCAGTGAAACATACAAACTTGGGAACAGCAATTCTCAGTGAGAACTGAACTAAGCATCAGCCTTCATCACTGATTTTGCCGTCATTTCATATTCTCCAATGAAAATTAAATCAACTGAGCTTCAGAAGGGCAGCTCTCTGGTATATATTTTATGGCAAAATTAACTGGTACAGTAAAATGACTCAAAGAGTGAGAGTATTTGTGTACATAATGCTTTATTAGACTTACGAAGTACATAATAAAAACTTATTAATGGAAACTACATAGTTCCAATTTTTAGCCTTCCTAATATGTGTAAAATTTTATTTCATTTATTTTATAAATATTTTGATGATTTTACTCACATAAAATGTCTCTTGTATTTATGACCTAAGAAGCAGTTTTAAAGTTTTAGCAATAATGTTTTAAAAATCTTGACTCACTTTCACTTTAATGAATTTTTAGAATCTCTTTAAGGTGGATATTCTTCAGAATATTGCCCTTCCCTCAACCATTGGCAAATACTTTTAAAAAATCATTGTATTGTTAGGCTCAGAGACATAGGTGCTTTCATACATTGTGGGTGGAAACCGAGTTTGGGACTATTTTTTGAAAGTCAGTTTGGAGACACATACACATGCATACACATGTTCATGTATATATATGTTATATATGTATATGCATGTACATATATATACACAGACATACATGCATTTATACACAGGTAGTTTTGGCCCATCTTCTAGGAACTTTCTTAAAGAAATATTAGAAAATGTTCATAAATTGTTATTTACAAGGACAGTCAATATAAGCATGTGCCTTCTTCGAGATCCTTATAGGTGAAAAAATAGGAGCAACTTAAATACCCACATTTAATGGAAAAGTGAATCAACTACATTGTAGTCATGCAATGGCCTACCATGTATCCATCAAATCATTTGTGGAAGAACACCAAATGGCATATTAAAACATTGATGCTATATTGAAAAAGCATGTTACACAATAGTATGTATAATATAATTATGCCATAGCTATCTATGTCCAGAAAAGTACTAAAACAGTTTCTGCCTAAATGTTAACAATGGCTATACTTGGGTAAAGAATTTATGGATGAGTTTATTTTTTTCTTATCATTTTCTGTTTTCTGAGTTTTCTTCAATAAATGTATATTATTTATGTTATCAATAAACAAAATAACTATTACAATATCTTGGTATATTTGTACACTTTGACCCAGCAATTCCATTTTTAGGACTATATCCTAACCTAAGGAAATAAACAGATGTACACACAAAGAGATATTTAGAACTATGTTCTTTGGTGATTTGTTTATAATAATAAAATATTAGAAACAAATCAAATGCTCAACAATAGAACAATAGATTTGTTTTAAAAAATTACAATGTATTCAAACAATGAAATATTTCACATCCTTTTTTTTTGAGATGGAGTCTTGCTCTGTTGCCCAGGCTGGAGTGCAGTGGCATGATCTTGGCTCACTGCAAGCTCCGCCTCCTGGGTTCAAGCCATTCTCCTGCCTCATCCTCCCGAGTAGCTGGGACTACAGGCACCCGCCACCACGCCTGGCTAAATTTTTGTATTTTTTAGCAGAGACAGGGTTTCACCCTGTTAGCCAGGATGGTCTCGATCTCCCGACCTCGTGATCTGCCCGCCTCAGCCTCCCAAAGTGCTGGGATTACAGGCATTAGCCACTGTGCCCGGCCAGTATTTCACATTTTAAAATCAAATTCTTGGCTGTGTGCAGTGGCTCATGCCTATAATCCAAGCACTTTGAGAAGTGGAGGCAGGAGTATTGCTTGAGCCCAGGAGTTCAAGACCAGCCTGGGCAACACAGCAATACCCTGTCTCAATAAAAAACAAAAAACAGATTCTTGAAAACATGTAAGAATAAGGGGAACTTCTCAAGACATTAAGTAAAAAAGGCATATAGACAGATATAATTCAATTAAAGGTTTGATTGCCTGGAAAAACATTAGAGTATACATTAATATGCTAGCAAGGATTGCCACTGGGCAGTGAAATTACTTACAGATTATTTTGATTATCTTTTTTAAATAATTTTTATGCTTTCAATGATGTAATTTTTATGAACAGAAAAAAATATGTAAATGGTAAGAATGTTTTATTGCTAGCAATATTAAGATATAGGATCTATATAAGCATGACTCCTCCAGATATTTTCTTCAAACCAATCACTTCTACTCAATTTATCAGTTTACCACACAGGAATATAGGAAGATTTAAATGTTTTGTTTTAGTCCATGGGTCTGTCTGATAAACAATAGAAAGAATTTTGACCAAAAAATTTACTTGCTCTGTAAGATGCTTAAAACCACAGAAAAAAGGGATATTTGTGGCTGGACTGGCCCAAGACTCACATCTCTAAACTGTGACATGAAGCTTTATTAATCATTTACCTCTTCAGAATCTAAGTCAGCAAAGGTCAAAGCAGTCCAGAGACAACACAAGGTGTAGTGTAGCCTTCCTCCCTGATGCAAGGGCTACATCCACAGTGTGAAGGAAGGTTTTTGGAGTTCAGTGAGAGAGTTTATGCCTTTAGTATAGTTCTGGTAGTAGCCACTGATCGATACAAAGGCTAGATAAATATGTGGGTAAGTAGAATAAATATCTATCTAGATAGATAGATAGATATAGATATAGGTAACATGTAAACATCTCTGCTTGGAGGGCTGAGGGGGGAACAAATATTTGTATGTATTTAACTACTTAATATATCTTTTATGTTGTAAAAGTCTTAGTATTATGTTTGCATATTGCATGATGAGAAAAAAGCCCCCAAATTTATCTCTGCCACTGATGTGTGGACTCAATGAGTATTTCCTGAAAGCCTATGTGTAAAGCACGGTTCTGGCTATAGGAGACAAAAAAGACACAGTCCTGTCTTCCTTTCCAGATGAAGACACAAAGACAATTCTGTGGATCACATGTGATTTTTCAATGTCTCTCTTCTCCAAAAAAAGAGATACTGGACAAAAAAATGGACAAAATAATAACTGACATTTACTGATGTTTCATGTAAATTTAGTGTAATACCACTTTAAAAGCTCATATATATTGCTATATAGCCTGGGAATATCACTAGTGAAATTTACCAAAGGCAGTTTTTAAAACTGAGATATTTATGGAAATCTTCAAGATACGGTGCAGTATATTATGATTTCTCCTTGTGAAATAAAAGTCTTACACTGACTTTTGACTCCACGAAGCTCGTTCACTACTTTCAAATTTTATGACAGGGTTTGGAAATACAACAGGGCAACAATTTTGGCTTCCCAGATGGACAGCCAGAGTTGAAACCAAGAGCCAATCAAGATCAGACCAACAAAATAATTAAAAGTGGAGAGTGAAAAGGAAAGGAAAAGAAACAGAAAGCAGATATGTGAGCTTAAGGGAGGTAAAGCAAAAATTAATATTTACTTGACTTGTCCGTTCTCTGTGTAGGTGAACCCCAGGAGGGAGCTGTTCAGCCAGCCGGCGAACTCCATGGTCAGGAGATAGAGGCCATCTCCACTGCTCTTCCTCCGCCTCGACCACCACGTACTCCTGCTTTTTGTACTCAAAACACCTCCGGATTTGCACCTGGTCCCCCGAGGGCCTCTTCATCTCGGGGAGCCAGGTGATCCTGGTCTCCTGGAGGTGCAGCCACAGGTGCCGGGTGTCAGGGAGCCAGGTGATCCTGCTCTCCCCGAGGTGCAACCACAGGTGCCGGGTGGGCGTACTCAGGTTGATGGAGATGCTCACGGTGCCTGTGTAGGTGTCCTCCTCCAACAGGGGCTTCACGTGCAGGTCTTAGTGGACCGGGTTGACGAAGTTCAGCAGTCAAAAGTTTTTCCACTGTCCGCTCTCATCCTCACTGGACGGGCAGATGTCCTGGTCCTGGGCAGGAGGACCCGACGGGCTGGCCGTGGAAGAAGGCAGGTGGGAAGGAGCTGGCACAGTGCCCAGCCCGCCGTCCCCACTGGAGTCACACGATCTGGTCAAGCCCACGGCGAGTCCGGCTATTAATCCTACACCCACCACCATCGCACAGAGAATGGCCATGTTTCATTTGAATGTAGTATCTCTTAGAGCCCTCTCTCCGCAAAGTTCAGTTTTGCTTCCCAAGTCAAGTGTTACACATAAAAAGATGTTGAATTTGACTAAAGCCAGCAGACTTCTTTTTTAAATTGGAAGGAATCCCCTGATTTGGCAGCCTGTTTTCGCTTTTCCCACACCCGTCTCTGGCTTCTCGTGCCTTTTCCTGTCCTTTTTCACTTTGCCACCAGCCACTCAGGATGAATGCGGAAACAAGGGGGGTGGCTTGAGGACTCCGTAAGAGGAGCCAAGTGACAGGAAGAGGGCTGGCGAGAAGATTGTCACAGCTCCCCTTATAAACGACGCATCTCCACCCCTACCCCGCCTGCACTGCAGCGAGTTAAATATGAAACAGGGCTTCGCTTATCAGCCAACGGGAGGATGAGCCCATGCCAAAGCTCCTTCAGCAGCTTTCAGGGAGGAAGGGTTTGGGTGAGGCTTACGATAGAAAATCTCAACCTTTGCCACTCAGCCTGGGGCTTCTTCCTGTTGTGTTCACAATCTCTCCCTCCTAACTAAAAGGCTTCTTGAATTTCAGCTATTTTATCGATAGCTTGCCAAAGAAGCTAAACGTTTTCTTTTTTCCCCCTCATATTATGTAAACGTTCAAATTCTGTCCTTTAGAGAAGTCATAACCTGGAATTGGGTGCTCAGGGTGATTGAAGGACCACCTTGGTACTCAGTAAATATTTGTCGAATTAGATTAGGAAAACATAGCCAGGTAACCCTAAATCAGTTCAGCTGGTGCTAGATGAATGAGAGAGGGGGAACCCAAATAAGTTAGCCAAAGCAGTAGTGGAGCTGGAAAGCTTAAGAAGAAGAGAGGGAGCAAGAAGGGGAGAAGTCTGAAAGGACAAAGGGACTAGGAAGAAGCCCTGCTTGTGTCTGCAGTGTGCCTCCAAGTGAGACTGACGTCCTTAGACTTTAATGTGGTAGAGCACGTTTAAAGTCGATTCCAGATGCGAAAATTGACCTGTTGGGAAATCCATCATCCATGCAAATCTATCATTTTGTTTCTGAATGACAAGGTCAGAAAGAAAAATTGCAATGAACTTCATATTTACTGGCAGCTTAGCTATGGACTGACATTTAGAGATGTTAAGTTATTGCTCAAGGTCACACACCTGGCAAATAGCAGAATTGGGGTTTGAACTCAGGTTGTCTGAGTCTAAAGGCCATATATCTGGCCAGGTGTGGTGGCTCATGCCTGTGATCTCAACACTGTGGGAGGCTGAGGCAGGTGGATCACCTGAGGTCAGGAGTTTGAGACCAGCCTGGCTAACATGGTGAAACTAAAAATACAAAATACAAAAATATGAAAAAAAAATTAGCCAGGTGTGGTGGTGCACATCTGTAGTACCAGCTACTCAGGAGGCTGATGCAGGAGAATCTCTTGAACCTGGGAGGCAGAGGTTGCAGTGGGGAGAGATCGGGCCACTGCACTCCAGCCTGGAGGACAGAGCGAGACTCCATCTCAAAAAAATAAATAAATAAAATTTTTAAAAATGAAGTCCATATATCTAACGGGTTCATTCCACTGCTTCCATGCTCTGAAGAGGATAAATATTCAAGGGTTAAGTAACTATGAAAAACTTGGTATTTCCCCAAATGTAATCCATGGATATTAACAGATATACTCGCCAAGCAAACAATGCTGGGTTAAAGTGAAAAATCTTCTTTTACTACTCTCCATTCTTGCAGAGCCTCCAGATGGTAACACACATTATGAGCCTCCCAGAGAGGAAACGCGATGGAGCACTCTCCCCATTTAGTTGACAAGAGAGCTTTTTCTGGTGAGGTACTTTTTGAGGGCCTTATGTTCCACAGAGCACACTCTGAGAAACGTTGTTTCAAACCGTTCTAAATTACAAACTAAACAAACAAACAAACAAACAAACAAAACTTTAAAAGCAAACAGGTCCATTTCACTCTGTAACATTTCTGTTGTTTTCTCACAAATAGTAGTGACAGAAAAAGAATTAAAGGAAAGAGGGATATGTTTTTCTAAATTGTAGACCCATCTTGTATTGATTAATTTTACATTCTGAAGCAAACCTAAACTTTTTGAGATCATAGTATGTTTAAGTCTGGCACATTAACTTCCTGAATTTTAGCCCTTGAAACCCCCTTTTTATTGAAAATATCGTCTGACACTTCAATAAATGTTTGATGGGTCTAATATTTTGATGTGTTTCTTAGGAATGAAAGGTAAAAATGTGGCTCAGGTTTACCTCAACATAGTGAAGGGCAAAGCAAAAAGTATTTGGAAGAATGTACATAAAATTATGTTAAACTAGAAGTATTTTTAAAAATCTCAGATGTGGCAAACATATATGAAATATCTTAAACTTGACTTTGTAGCAAACGTGTATGAAATCTCTTAAACTTGACCTTATTTAGAAAGATGACAATCTTATCACCAAGTCTTATGTACAAGAAGATAATAGACCCTTGGGTTAGGTACACTTAAGGAAGATTAAGAATGGCCACCTGCTATAAAATAGCTCTACTACTTTGCCTGAAATTCTACCATAAGGAATATATTATTTAAATGCTTTTTTTTTTGCTGGAAGAAATAAAATACCCTAAGTCCACATATGGTGTGTGTGTGTGTGTGTGTGTGTGTGTGTGTGTGTGTAAGTTTTGAGTCCATGGCCCAGTTCTAGCCACAGTATCTTATTAGTACCAACCTGTGTGAGCTGACTGCATCCAATGAAGGGCACCACATCTTGTGAGGATCAGCATATTAGGGTTACCTAATACAGCCAGATGAGCAGAGGCAGAAGAGCCAGCATGTGCACCATCACAAGCACCCTCCTAGATTAAATAGTTGATATTGGGTAAGCTTACGTTGAATGAATCTACATTGGACAAGGCAAGTCCCTTCTGCCTATGATCCTGGAAAATAAAGAACAAGTTAGTTACTTCCAAGATACAATGGGGGTACAGGCATTGGGTAAATGTTCCCATTCCAAATTGGAGAAATTGACTAAAATAAAGGGGCTACAGGCCCCATTCAAGTCCAAAACCCAGCAGGGCAGTCATTAAATCTTAAAGGTTCAAAATGATCTCATTTGACACCATGTCTCACATCCAGGTCATGCTGATGCAAGTGGTGGGCTCCTAAGGCCTGGGGCAGATCTGCCCCTGTGGCTGTGCAGGGTACATCCCCCATGGCTGATTTCATGGGTTGGCATTGATTGCCTGTGGTTTTTCCAAGCACATGACACAAGCTGCCAGTGAATCTACCATTCTGGGGTCTGGAGGATGGTGGCCCACTTCTCATAGCTCCGCTAGGCAGTGCCCCAGTGGGGATTCTGTGTGGGGTCTCCAACCCCAAACTTCCCCTCTGCATTGCCCTGGTAGAGGTTCTCCATGAGGGCTCTGCCCCTGTAGCAGACTTCTAAATTTCCATACATTCTCTGAAATCTAGGCGGAGGCTCCCAAAGCTCAACCCTTGCCTTCTGCACACCCACAGGCCCAACACCACGTGAAAGCCTTGAAGGCTTGGGGCTTACACCCTCTGAAGCAATGGCTCAACCTGTACCTTGGCCCCTTTTAGCCATGGCTGGAACTGGAGCAGCTGGGACACAGGGTGCCATGTCTTGAGGTTGCACAGAGCAGCAGGACCCACAAAACCCTTTTCCCTCCTAGGCTTCCAAGCCTGTGACAGGGAGAGCTGCCTTGAAAATCTCTGACATGTCCTGGAGACATTTTCCCTATTGTCTTGGCCATTAACATTTGTCTTCTCTTTACTTATGCAAATTTCTGCAGCTGGCTTGAATTTCTCCTCAGAAAATGGGAGAAATGGGTTTTTCTTTCCTACCATATAGTCAGGCTGCAAATTTTCCAGGCTTTTATGTTCTGTTTCCCTTTTAAACAGAAGTTCCAATTTCAGACCATCTCTTTGTGAACACATATGAATATATGCTTTTGGAAACCGACAGGTCACATCTCAAAGGCTTTGCTGCTTAGAAATTTCTTCCACCAGATACCCTAAATCATCTCTCTCAAGTTCAAAGTTCCACAGATCTCTAGGGATCTGTGGGGAAGAAGCAAAATGCCACAAGTCTCTTTGCTAAAGCATAGGAAGAGTGACCTTTACTCCAGTTCCAAGTAAGTTCCTCATTTCCATCTGAGACCACCTTCACCTGGATTTCATTGTCCATATCTCTATCAGGATTTTGGTCAAAACCATTCAACAGGTCTCTAAGAAGTTCCAAACTTTCCCACATCCTCCTTTCTTCTTCTGAGCTCTCCAAAGCATTCTAACCTCTTCCTGTCATCCAAAGTTACATTCACATGTTCAGGTGTCTTATAGAAGTGCCCCACTTCTCTTGGTACTATTGTTGGTGGCCTGAGAGGAATGGGTCTGAAAGAGAGGATCAGTGACTATTTTGAATAAATGCTATGATCTACCGCATATGCAGTATCTCCTAACAATTATATTTTTGTTATGTCGTCATTCAACTATTATTTAGAAATTATTTCAGTTCATATGAGATTGTCTGATTAAAATGCTTCTTCTCTAAGGCTGAGGCTAACATGACATTGTTTCCCATTGCCTTTTTTCCTTATAGATTCTTCTGTTCTTTTCTAAACTTGATGTTTGTATATAACATGTATGTATGTATACATATATGAGTGTGTGTGTGTGTGTGTGTGTGTATAGTTTTTCATGTATATATTTTTTCCTAAGGGATATATTTGAACTAAATGTGTTTATCAATCAATATTATTTTAAAGTATCAATTTTAGGCCAGGCATGGTGGCTTACACCTGTAAACCTAACACTTTGAGAGGCAGAGGTGGGAGGACCACTTGAGCTCAGTAGTTTGAGACCAGTCTGGGCAACGTAGTGAAACCTCATCTGTAAAATAAATAATAACTTAAATAAAATATCCATTTTATGTATCAATTCTACTCAAGTAAACATGAAGCAGACATTTTTTCTCATTTTCACAAGAGCTATTTATCATGACTGTTATTTATCATGACTGTGTGAGAGCAGAGGTGTTCTCACCTGAAATCATATAACTTATTTTCCACATAGTTGATGAATAGAGTAGACACAAAACATGGACTGTATCATAAAGAAAAAATTTATAGCTGACATTTATTGAAAGTGTTGAACACAGATGCATCCCTTTTAGTAATCAACAATCATGAGCTTAAAACAGACTTCCAGAGTGAAGACATCAAACACCTCTGTAATTTTGTGCCCCAAGTTTCCCATAAAATTGCTACCCATGGCATCAGGAGCTAGCCAGACCAGATGAGGAAGAATGGAGAAGCTGTATAAAAACAATAATAATGGTATCTTACACATACGCCATGCTCTGTAGTTCACAAAGCAGTTACATGTCTACCTCATTTCATCTTGAACACAACTTCGTTGTGAGCAGGACTGGTGGTGTTATCCTCATGTTATTCAAGAATGAAACAAAATGGAAATATTAAGTGACTTGTCCAAGGTCATCCAGCTTTTTAGATATAATATTACCATCCAATAAAACTCATATGGTAGAAATGCCCTGTGCCCTGTCATTCCTTGGAGACAGCTCTGAAAAGGTCAAACACCAGGCCTTGGTAGTGAGAGGTGACAGCGTGCTGGCAGCCCACGCAGCCCTCGCTTGCTCTCAGTGCCTCCTTGGCTGTGGCACCCACTCTGGCCGCACTTGAGGAGCCTTCCAGCCCACTGCTGCACTGTGGGAGCCCCTTTCTGGGCTGACCAAGGCTGGAGGCAGCTCCCTCAGCTTGCAGGGAGGTGTGGAGGGAGAGGCGTGAGCAGGAACCAGGGCTGCATTCGGTGCTTGCAGGCCAGCGCGAGTTCTGGGTGGGTGTGGCCTCAGCAGGCCCTTCTCTCGGAGCCGCCGGCCCAGCCTGCAAGCCCCGGGCAGTGAGTGGCTTAGCACCTGGCCCAGCAGCTGCTGTGCTCAACTTCTCGCAGGGCCTTAGCTGCCTCCCGGTGTGGCAGGGCTTGAGACTTACAGCCTGCCATGCCTGAACCTCCCCCCACCGTGGACTCCTGAATGGCCCAAGTCTCCCCGATGAGTGCCGCCCCCTGCTCCATGTTGCCCCCTCCCATTGACCACCCAAGAGCTGAGGATTGTGAGTGCACAGCGCGGGACTGGCAGGCAGCTCCACCTGCAGCCCCAGTACGGGATCCACTGGGTGAAGCCAGCTGGGCTCCTGAGTCTGGTGAGGATGTGGAGAACCTTTATGTCTAGCTCAGGGATTGTAAATACACCAACTGGCATTCTGTATCCAGCTCAAGGTTTGTGGACACACCAATCAGCACCCTGTGTCTAGCTCACTGTTTGTAAATGCACCAATTGACACTCTGTATCTAGCTACTCTAGTGGGGACTTGGAGAACCTTTATGTCTAGCTAAGGGATTGTAAATACACCAATCGGCACTCTGTATCTAGCTCAAGGTTTGTAAACACACCAATCAGCACCCTGTGTCTAGCTCAGGGTTTGTGAATGCACCAATGGACACTCTGTATATAGCTACTCTGGTGGGAACTTGGAGAACCTTTGTGTCAACACTCTGCATCTAGCTAATCTAGTGGGGACGTGGAGAACTTTTGTGTCTAGCTCAGGGATTGTAAAGGCACCAAACAACACCCTGTCAAAATGGACCAATCAGCTTTCTGTAAAATGGACCAATCAGCAGGATCTGGGTGGGGCTAGATAAGTGAATAAAAGCAGGCTGCCCCAGCCAGCAGTGGCAACCCGCTCGGGTCTCCTTCCACGCTGTGCAAGCTTTGTTCTTTCGCTCTTTGTAATAAATCTTGCTGCTGCTCACTCTTTGGGTCCACACTGCTTTTATGAGCTGTAACACCACGAAGGTCTGCAGCTTCACTCCTGAAGCCATTGAGACCATGAACCCACTGGGAGGAATGAACAACTCCAGACGTACCACCTTAAGGCTGTAACACTCACCGCAAAGGTCTGCAGCTTCACTCCTGAGCCAGCGAGACCACGAACCCACCAGAAGGAAGAAACTCTGAACACATCCGAACATCAGAAGGAACAAACTCCAGACAAGCTGCCTTTAGGAACTGTAACACTCATCACAAGCATCCGCGGCTTCATTCTTGAAGTCAGTGAGACCAATAACCCACCAATTCCGGACACAGTAGGATGCCAGTTCACCAATGGACATTACCAACTAATACTCCCCTTATCTAAAAATCTACATTACAAACAATTAAGCACTTCTATTTTCTTGACTGAGTTTTCCTTTCCCCTTAGTTCTTTTAGGATGACTTTGAGCATCAGGATTTGCAAACCAGAATTTTGTAGGACTAATGTATGTTTAACAAGAGAAGTCAAGAGTAATGTTTTAGAAAGATGTTTTTTTTTACTTATCAGGCAGGTCAATATCAAAGAGGTCTGTTAGTGAACAATGACCTGGTGGTTTTTCAAAAACGGAAGAAGAAACTTTCATATCACCATGAATTTAATACTGTCTCTTGTGTTTTCCTTTGCAATCTCTTTAATTGGATTTTGTTCAAGGATACAGGGGGCTCTTGTCTTTTGAGTGCATTTAAGAGTTCATTTTCCAGCTTTGACACTCAGCTCAGGAGTTTCAACAGCAATTAATCAGGACTATCCATATCAGAAACATTGTTAATCTTCACCGGACAGAAGTGGTTATGTTTGCAACTAAACTTCAATAGACTCTTTGGACGTAGGATTTATTGTATTGCAAATGTTTTGAAAGGGAAGACATGACTTTGAAGCAGAGTGGGAGAAACAGTTTTAAAGAGCTGGAACCAAAATCCAAGAGTCACTCAAGCAGACCTGGAAGGAAACATTTGTTTCTGCTGCAGGTTTTAAGAATAGTCATTTCAAGGTTGAACACCATCCAAGTGTGCATTAGGGCACATGGTTATTCATCCTCCAAATTTCAGTCCTCAACCCTTCTCTGCCCTCTCCCCTGCATGAGCTCATTTCTTCCTGATTTCAAATTATCACCTCAATGCCTCAGTGTAGATGACTCACAGATTCATTGATTACCCAGCAGGTATTGAATTCCCACTGCAATAATATATGGCATCACAATAGTTTCCATTTATTGAGTTCTCACTATTGTCAGATGATGGGCTAAACCCATCTGTGCACTGAGAGGGGTAAAGTATGGTGGTTGGGATGGTGCATGGTCTGGAGGCCAGCTGCCTGTGTTCTAATCCTGATACTGCCACTTGCAAATTTTCTTACTTTGGGCAAGTTATTCAGTTCTCTAGCTCTGCTTTCTCCTCTCTAAAATGAATATGAAGAGTACCTACCCATAGAGTCTTGTTTGTTTTGTGCTTAGAATTAAATAAAAGATTCCACGTAAGACACCTCATAGTAAATATTCAAACATTGCTTATAATAATTGTTACTAATTATCACTCTTATTTTTTATACAATGACACAACATTCCTGGGATGTAGGCACTATTTTATCCAATTTAAAAACATGCCTATCTTCTTAATCAGCATGATAAGGGCACCTCTAAATTATGGCCCATGGGAATAATGCATTGTTAGAAAAGATATCAGTCCTAGACTGCAATTTGCAAAAGTATTCAAATAAGAGGACTAAGATAACCATAACAATCTCACAAAGTGCTATGAGAGCTCAGGATACTAAATGTCAGTCTGTATCTCTTAACAGCCCCTAAGCTGTTCAGAGTCACAGAATGTCAGAGCTGAAAGCACAGTAAACACAAAAACATAGAACTGTAATCGCAATAAAATGCCCCATTTACAATGAAAGGTATTCATCTCAGAGGGTCAAAGAATGTGATGACAGTTGCACAGTTAGCCACAAGGGCAGAGCTGCAGACTCTGGCCTCTACTTACTGTGTGGATGTCCCACCATCAACACTTTCCAACATTTCAAAATGTAAACATATCATTAAACACATTCGTTACGTATTTGCTACTGTTTGGAAAGTCCTTTGTTTAGCAAAATGCTCTCTTTCTTACATACAGCACATTGCAATTCACCAAAACTATCCACATTGGAAATATTTTCACTATTTACCAGACAGAAGCAGCTATGTATGCAACTAAATTTTAATGGGGTTCATCATTTTGCAGATGCTTTGAAAGGTGAGGCGATATGGTTTGGCTGTGTCCCCACTCAAATCTCATCTTGAATTCCCATGAGTCATGGGAGGAACCTGGTGGGAAGTAGTTAAATTATGGGGGCAGGTCTTTCCTGTGCTGATGTCATGATAGTGAATGAGTCTCACAAGATCTTATGGTTTTAAAAACGGGAGTTTCCTTGCACAAGGTCTCTTCTCTTGCCTGCCACCACGCGAGACGTGCCTTTCACCTTTGCCAGGATTGTGAGGCCTCCCCAGCCACGTGGAACTGTAAATCCAATAAACTTCTTTCTTTTGTAAATTGCCCAGACTTGGGTATGTCTTTATCAGCGGCATGAAAATGGACTAATACAGGAGGCATGGCTTTGAAACAAGGTGGGAGAAGTGCTTCTTTTTAAAGTGCTCAGTTAAAACAAAACACCAAATTATTTGTTGAACTAGTCCTGGAAGCAATCTTTTGTTATTGCTGCAAGATATGAGGAGCTCATCACCTCATATCCTGTCCAGTAGGAAATTCTATTGGCTGATAACATCTCCAGAATCTGACTGCTTCTCACCTCTTCCAGTGCCACAACCCTGTTCCAAGCCACGAGAATCTCTTCCTTAGTGTACTGTGGGGTCTCCTACTTATACAATTTGCCTTAACTTTTACACATTAAAGTGTATATTTCACGAAGAACAGACTCCACAAAGTGATACTTTTAAAATAAAGTCAGATTATACACTTCCCATATAGAAACCCCCAATGCCTTCCCATCACTCAGAGAAAAACTCAACTCTCCTCTGATGACCTAGTGTTCTACACTCTCTGCTCCCTACCCCTACCTTCTCTGGCCTCATCTCCTACAGCTTGCCCCTTGTTAATTCATGAACCCCCCACCACACACTCCCAGCCCTGCATTCCTTAAAACTTTAGAACCTTGCCCTAATTGATTTTCTGTTTCTCTGCCTGGAGCAATCTTCACTGAGATACATGTGTGGCTCAATCTCTCACTTTCTTCAGGTCTTTGCTCAAGACCCTACTCAATGAGACTTAGCTGGATCAGCACGTTCAATTGTTCTGTGGCCCAGAATGTGCACACGTACACACCTGATTCCCACTAACTACAGTTATGAATTTATATATTATCTAAAGTAAACCAGCATAAGTTTTAGAGTTAAAGGGGATGGTGCTAATTGTTATGCTGGCACAACAGGAATAAACTAAGGCTGCCTTGGTCAAACTGGGACATATATCCACCTAAATATAACATGCTCTGATTTTTCTCCCTTGGCATTTATTGCCTTTTGACAAACTGTAATATTCACATATTTCTAATGTGTTTTAGTTATTGTCTGTCACTCCCTCTTAGAGCATGAGCTTCATGAGAGCAAAGACATCTTTCTCTTTCTCGATGTATTCTAAGTGTTTAAAATAGTGCCCAACAGCATGGCACAGAGTAGATTCTCAATAATGTTTTTCAAAATAAATGAATAAATGATATAAAGTAGTCAAAGATGATCTCAAAAGTTCTTTCAAACTTTTAGCATCAGATGCATTTTTCAGTTCAATTCTATCAAAAATGGTGAAAATGAACAAAATGAATATCCAAAACCAAAATTGTCACCAGACCCATGAAATTCTAGATTCTTAATACTGGATCTGAAAGAGAGATGAATGGATGATCTGGTTCTATTTTCATTCCTTGAGGAAAGCAAATGTTTAAATCAATATTCTCCAGTTATTTTCCTGCTGTCCTTCTGTATTAGTCCATACATTGCTAATAAAGACATACCTGAGACTGGGTAATTTATAAAGGAAAGGGATTTAATGGACTTACAGTTCCACATGGCTGGAGAGGACTCACGATCATGGTAGAAGGCAAAGGAGGAGCATAGGCACATCTTACATGGCAGCAAGCAAGAGAGCTTGTGCAGGGGATCTCTTTATAAAACCATCAGATCTCATGAGACTAATTCACAATCATAAGAACAATACAGGAAAGACCCGCCCCCATTATTCAATTACCTGCCACTGGGTCCCTCCCATGACATGTGGGAATTATGGGAGCTACAATTCAAGATGAGATTTGGGTGGGGACACAGCCAAACCATATCACCATGCTAGAATGTCTCCGACTTGCTCCTTTTCATCTTTAAAAAGCTCAGGTGGAAATTCTTTCCTAAAATTTCCCATTTTCCCTAACCCCTCAACCTAAGAAAAGTCATACTCAGAAGACAATGTTACTGTTCTCTTATGATGTTATTTCTGTACCTCATACATGTTCTACAAATGCATATGTCTCCTTACATACATTCTACCCTGTCACTTTCCACAGTTTACTACTTATAATATCTTCCACGTCTACCCTGTGCCTTCAGTGGACTATAAGTTTCTTAGAAACAGGTGCTCTAACATTCATTTTTGACTTCACCACAACTAACACAGTACATGGTACACAGTGAGCATCATACGTGTATTCATCAATCTGAATTGGACTTCATTTGATGACTATTAGATTGGATTCGATGACAACTACACTATCCAAACTACCCATCCAAACATGACTGTGTGACTGCTACATTCCAGTTTAACTCTTAAGACTTTACATCATTGTAATATCAAAGGCCCTTTCTAGCACAATATTTTCAATTACTTATAATTCCTTTCCCTACAACTGACCCTACTATACATGATCTTTAAACCCTTGTTGTCATATTAGAGAGGGCTACTTTTTTCCTTGTAATACTACAAATAAGGAGTTTAAATTGGGTCCTTCTATTTACTAATGAATAAAACAATTATTAAAAATGAATTTGAAGCTATCAAATCTAATCTATCTTTACATGAAAACTCCTGCAGTTGTGTTGTCAGTCATAACTTCCCATATACTTAATGGAATACATACACACCCATGTATCTATCCCTAAAATATAAGGAATAGATATTACCAAAACACATATTCTAATTCCTTAAGGTTTTTTTTTGATCCTCTAATATTTTGATGCCTGTTGGCCAAGTCCTTATTGACTGTGTTACTGAATAATTTGTCCATTTCTGCTCATTTTTCTGCTTCTGAGTGTTTCACCATATTTCATCCTGAGATGATTTTACCATATGTATAGTACCATTCATCTCTGTTTCACCTTAATTATACTCAATGTCTACTGTATTCTTAGCTGGAAACTATCTCCTTTTCATCCCTCAAAGCCTACTGGAGATCTGAATCTCCCAACAATGAAAGGCCCAGAAATACCTGAAATACAGCATATCATCTAGGTAAGACTGTTCAGACTAGCCATTAGCTGTCAAGTTTCATGTATTTTGCCTTCTACAAATCCATCCCTGGAGCCTTCTGCCATGGAAATATCCAATGTGAATAGGTGTCAATCTCCATCATTTTATTTTTATTTTTAATTTTTTTTTCAATGAGCAACATTTTTGTTACAGATAATTTTAGTTTATTTTAAGGTTTAATTAATATTAAGCAGTTCAAAAATGACCCCATTCTTTTTTTATTATTATTATTATACTTTAAGTTTTAAGGCACATGTGCACAATGTGCAGGTTAGTTATATATGTATACATGTGCCATGCTGGTGTGCTGCACCCATGAACTCGTCATTTAGCATTAGGTATATCTCATAATGCTATCCCTCCCCCCTCCAGCCACACCACAACAGTTCCCAGAGTGTGATGTTCCCCTTCCTGTGTCCATGTGCTCTCATTGTTCAATTCCCACCTATGAGTGAGAACATGCAGTGTTTGATTTTTTGTCCTTGTGATAGTTTACCGAGAATGATGATTTCCAATTTCATCCCTGTCCCTACAAAGGACATGAACTCATCATTTTTTATGGCTGCATAGTATTTCATGGTGTATATGTGCCACATTTTCTTAATCCAGTCTATCATTGTTGGACATTTGGGTTGGTTCCAAGTCTTTGCTATTGTGAATAATGCCACAATAAACATATGTGTGCATGTGTCTTTATAGCGGCATGATTTATAATCCTTTGGGTATATACCCAGTAATGGGATGGCTGGGTCAAATGGTATTTCTAGTTCTAGATCCCTGAGGAATCGCCACACTGACTTCCACAATGGTTGAACTAGTTTACAGTCCCACCAACAGTGTAAAAGTGTTCCTATTTCTCCACATCCTCTCCAGCACCTTTTTTTTCCTGACTTTTTAATGATTGCCATTGTAACTGGTGTGAGATGGTATCTCATTGTGGTTTTGATTTGCATGTCTCTGATGGCCAGTGATGGTGAGCATTTTTTTATGTGTTTTTGAGCTGCATAAATGTCTTCTTTTGAGAAGTGTCTGTTCATATCCTTCGCCCACTTTTTCATGGGGTTGTTTGTTTTTTTCTTGTAAATTTGTTGGAGTTCATTGTAGATTCTGGATATTAGCCCTTTGTCAGATGAGTAGACAGAATAAAGCCCTCAGAAATAATGCTGCATGTCTACAACTATCTGATCTTTGACAAACCTGAGAAAAACAAGCAATGGGGAAAGGATTCCCTATTTAATAAATGGTGCTGGGAAAACTGGCCAGCCATGTATAGAAAGCTGAAACTGGATCCCTTCCTTACACCTTATACAAAAATTAATTCAAGATGAATTAAAGACTTAAACCTTAGACCTAAAACCATAAAAATCCTAGAAGAAAACCTAGGCATTACCATTCAGTCCATAGGCATGGGCAAGGACTTCATGTCTAAAACACCAAAAGCAATGGCAACAAAAGCCAAAATTGACAAATGGGATCTAATTAAACTAAAGAGCTTCTGCACAGCAAAAGAAACTACCATCAGAGTGAACAGGCAACCTACAAAATGGGAGAAAATTTTCACAACCTAATCTCCATCAGTTTAAAATCTTCCCCCATTTGCTGCATCAGAGAATATAAAATGTAGAATATTTTCCCCCAAAGTTTCCCAGCATGTTTCCTTTGTTCAATCTAAAATCAGGCAATTTAAATGACAGGTACACTTGATTTAAAGTCTGCTGACTCCCCTCCCCACCAGTAATTCCAGATTCTGTCTCCCTTAAATCATCATTCCAATGAGGAATGGGGAGAAATAGACAAACATTGCTGAAAATCACAAAGGCAAGTTTCTCACCAGATTGTGTATATCATCAGATGATCTTGACAAAGTCCAAAAGCCACCAGGTCTCTATTGGAAATAGTTACAAGGGTCAAGCCCTCACAATTACCAGAAATTCAAGCTGCCTTATATATGTATGGAAAAGATATGTAACCTACTGCCTCTCCAAAGCACCTTCAGGAAAACATCCTGTTCACTCAGATGCTATCTATATTTCAGCAAATGTCAGCAAGTCCACATACTTTGGCAGAACAAATGTTACTTTTCCTTTCATTACTGTCCTAAGAGGAGTTGTGCAATCCTATAGATTATCACATGGAGCTCTCATTGGTATGGGGCCAAGGCTGAATACTCTTTTCCAGAGGAGGCAAATTGTGAATTAGTTTCACCTCCAGCAAATTGTTTTTTGTGTTCAATTTAATTTTGTTTTCATGATTTTTTTCTGAGGGCTTCTCTGGCCTTGCTCAACTAACTGGTTTAAGAGATCAGTTTAAGTTCAGAAAAACCTCAGTATTTCCAAGATTTCAGAATGCCTTTTTATTGAATTCCTGATTAGGACAAGTGAGAATAACAAACGTTTTACAGGTGTTCAATTCTCCAACACAGATATTGTTTAGAAGAAGGGGAAAACACCACAATAAATTACATTGGGCATAATTTTACTCAAATTCAGGAGCTGAGGGGATGGGGAGGAAGGGGAAGGAAGAGAATGAGTAAGTAGCTTTTCATCTAAAGTGAAAGTTACATTCTCTGAACAGTGACTTCTTTAAAGGTACATTGAACAGTCAGTGAGTAGCAACAATAAGACAACAAAGAAAATTAAGGATGCATGTTCAAAAAAACATGTTCACAGAGCCAGGAGTCAAAATGTACAGAAACTTGTTCTCTGTTCACACTAACCAGGTAGAACAGTTAGCTGTGAATAAACTCAAGATATCAGACTGGCTCCATTAATGAAACATTTTTTTTAAATTTTTTTATTATACTTTAAGTTCTTGGGTACATGTTCACAATGCACAGGTTTGTTACATATGTATACATGTGCGATGTTAGTGTGCTGCACCCATTAACTCGTCAATTACACTAGTTATATCTCCTAATGCTATCCCTCTCCCCTCCCCCCACCCCACAACAGTCCCTGGTGTGTGATGTTCCCCTTCTTGTGTCCAAGTGTTCTCATGGTTCAATTCCCACCTATGAGTGAGAACATGCGGTGTTTGGTTTTTTGTCCTTGTGATAGTTTGCTGAGAATGATGGTTTCCAGCTTCATCCATGTCCCAACAAAGGACAGGAACTCATCCTTTTTTATGGCTGCATAGTATTCCATGGTGTATATGTGCCACATTTTCTTAATCCAGACTATCACTGATGGACATTTGGGTTGGTTCCAAGTCTTTGCTATTATGAATAGTGCCATAACATATGTGTGCATTTGTGTTTATGGCAGCATGATTTATAATCCTTTGGGTATATACCCAGTAATGGGATGGATGGGTCAAATGGTATTTCTAGTTCTAGATCCTTGAGGAATCACCAAACTGTCTTCCACAATGGTTGAAGTAGTTTACAGTCCCACCAACAGTGCAAAAGTGTTCCTATTTCTCCACATCCTCTCCAGCTCCTGTTGTTTCCTGACTTTTTAATGACCGCTATTCTAACTGGTGTGAGATGGTATCTCATTATGGTTTTGATTTGCATTTCTCTGATGGCCAGTGATGATGAGCATTTTCTCACGTGTCTATTTGCTACATAAATGTCTTCTTTTCAGAAGTGTCTGTTCATATCCTTCACCCACTTGTCGACGGGTTTTTTTTTTCTTGTAAATTTGTTTGAGTTCTTTGTAGATTCTGGATATTAGCCCTTTGTCAGATAAGTAGATTGCAAAGCTTTTTCCCATTCTGTAGGTTGCCTGTTCACTCTGATGGTAGTTTCTTTTGCTGTGCAGAAGCTCTTTAGTTTAATTAGATCCCATTTGTCAATTTTGGCTTTTGTTGCCATTGCTTTTGGTGTTTTAGACATGAAGTCTTTGCCCATGCCCATGTCCTGAATGGTATTGTCTAGGTTTTCTTCTAGGGTTTTTATGGTTTTAGGTCTAACATTTAAGTCTTTAATCCACCTTGAATTAATTTTTGTATAAAGTGTAAGGAAGGGATCCAGTTTCACCTTTCTACATGTTGCTAGTCAGTTTTCCCAGCACCACTTATTAAATAGGGAATCCTTTCCCCATTTCTTGTTTTTATCAGATTTGTCAATGATCACAAAGTTGTAGATGTGTGGTATTATTTCTCAGGGCTCTGTTCTGTTCTGTTGGTCTATATCTGTGTTTTGGTACCAGTACCATGCCGTTTTGGTTACTGCAGCCTTGTAGTATAGTTTGAAGTCAGGTAGCATGATGCCTCCAGCTTTGTTCTTTTGGCTTATGATTGACTTGGCAATGCAGCCTCTTTTTGGTTCCATATGAACTTTAAGGTAGTTTTTTCTAGTTCTGTGAAGAAAGTCATTGCTAGCTTGATGGGGATGGCATTGAATCTATAAATTACCTTGGGCCGTATGGCCATTTTCACTATATTGATTCCTCCTATCCATGAGCATGGAATGTTCTTCCATTTGTTTGTGTCCTCTTCTATTTCATTGAGCAGTGGCTTGTAGTTCTTCTTGAAGAGGTCCTTCACATCCCTTGTAAGTTGGATTTCTAGGTATTTTATTCTCTTTGAAGCAATTGTGAATGGGAGTTCACTCATGATTTGGCTCTCTGTTTGTCTGTTATTGTTGTATAAGAATCATTGTGATTTTTGCACATTGATTTTATATCCTGAGACTTTGCTGAAGTTGCTTATCAGCTTAAGGAGATTTTGGGCTGAGACAATGGGGTTTTCTAGATATACAATCATGTCATTGGCAAACAGGGACAATTTGACTTCCTCTTTTCCTAATTGATTACACTTTACTTCTTTCTCCTGCCTGATTGCCCTGGCCAGAACTTCCAACACTATGTTGAAAAGGAGTGGCGAGAGAGGGCTTCCCTGTCTTGTTCCAGTTTTCAAAGGGAATGCTTCCAGTTTTTGCCCATTCAGTATGATATTGGCTGTGGGTTTGTCATAGATAGCTCTTATTATTTTGAGATACATCCCATCAATTCCCAATTTATTAAGAGTTTTTAGCTTGAAGCGTGGTTGAATTTTGAGAAAGGCCTTTTCTGCATCTATTGAGATAATCTTGTGTTTTTTGTCTTTGGTTCTGTTTATATCCTGGATCACATTTGTTGATTTGCATATGTTGAAACAGCCTTGCATCCCAGGGATGAAGCCAACTTGATCATGGTGGATAAGCTTTTTGATGTGCTCCTGGATTTGGTTTGTGAGTATTTTATTGAGGATTTTTGCATCAATGTTCATCAAGGATATTGGTCTAATATTCTCTTTTTTGGTTGTGTCTCTGCCAGGCTTTGGTAACAGGATGATGCTGGCCTCATAAAATGAGTTAGGGAGAATTCCCTCTTTTTGTGTTGATTGGACTAGTTTCAGAAGGAATGGTACCAGCTCCTCCTTATACCTCTGGTAGAATATTGCTGTGAATCCGTCTGGTCCTGAACTTTTTTTGATTGGTAGGCTATTAATTATTGCTTCAATTTCAGAGTCTGTTATTGGTCTATTCAGAGATTCAGCTTCTTCCTGGTTTAGTCTTGGGATGGTGTATGTGTCCAGGAATTTATCCATTTCTTCTAGATTTTCTAGTTTATTAGAATAGAGGTGTTTATAGTATTCTCTGATTGCAGTTTATATTTCTGTGGGATCAGTTATGATATCCCGTTTACCATTTTTTATTGTGTCTATTTGATTCTTCTTTCTTTTCTTCTTTATTAGTCTTGCTAGTGGTCTATCAATTTTGTTGATCTTTTCAAAAAACCAGCTCCTGGATTCATTGATTTTTTGAAGGGTTTTTTGTGCCTCTATCTCCTTCAGTTCTGCTCTGATCTTAGTTATTTCTTGCCTTCTGCTAGCTTTTGAATGTGTTTGCTCTTACTTCTCTAGTTCTTTTCATTGTGACGTTAGGGTGTCCATTTTTTATCTTTCCTACTTTCTCTTGTGGGCATTTAGTGCTATAAATTTTCCTCTACACACTGCTTTAAATGTGTCCCAGAGATTCTGGTATGTTGTGTCTTTGTTCTCAGTGGTTTCAAAGAACATCTTTATTTCTGACTTCATTTCATTATGTACCCAGTAGTCACTCAGGAGCAGGTTGTTCAGTTTCCATGTAGTTGAGCGCTTTTGAGTGAGTTTCTTAATCCTGAGTTCTAGTTTGATTGCACTGTGGTCTGAGAGACAGTTTGTTATAATTTCTATTCTTTTACATTTCTTTAGGAGTGCTTTACTTCCACCTATGTGGTCAATTTTGGAATAAGTGCGATGTGGTGCTGAGAAGGATGTATATTCTGTTGATTTGGGGTGGAGAGTTCTGTAGATGGCTATTAGGTCCGCTTGGTGCAGAGGGGAGTTCAATTCCTGGATATCCTTGTTAACTTTCTGTGTTGTTGATCTGTCTAATGTTGACAGTGGGGTGTTAGAGTCTCCCATTATTATTTGGTGGGAATCTAAGTCTCCTAGTAGGTCTCTAAGGACTTGCTTTATGAATTTGGGTGCTTCTGTATTGGGTGCATATATAGTTAGGATAGTTAGCTCTTCTTGTTGAAATGATCCCTTTACCATTATGTAATGGCCTTCTTTGTCTCTTTTGATCTTTGTTGGTTTAAAATCTGTTTTATCAGAGACTGGGATTGCAACCCTTGCATTTTTTTGTTTTCCATTTGCTTGGTAGACCTTCCTCCTTCCCTTTATTTTGAGCCTATGTGTGTCTCTGCTCGTGATATGGGTCCCCTGAATACAGCAGACTGATGGGTCTTGACTCTTTATCCAATTTGCCAGTCTGTGTCTTTTAATTGGGGCATTTAGCCCATTTACATTTAAGGTTAGTATTGTTATGGGTGAATTTGATCCCGTCATTATGATGTTAACTGGTTATTTTGCTCATTAGTTCATGCAGTTTCTTCCTAGCATCGATGCACTTTCCAATTTGGCATGTTTTTGCAGTGGCTGGTACCAGTTGTTCCTTTCCATATTTAGTGCTTTCTTCAAGAGTTCTTTTAGGGCCAGCCTGGTGGTGACAAAATCTCTCAGCCTTTGCTGGTCTGTAAAGGATTTTATTTCTCCTTCACTTATGAAGCTTAGTTTGGCTGGATATGAAATTCTGGGCTAAAAATTCTTTTCTCTAAGAATGTTGAATATTGGCCCCCACTCTCTTCTGGTTTGTAGAGTTTCTGCTGAGAGATCAGCTGTTAGTCTTATGGGCTTCCCTTTGTGGGTAACCCGACCTTTCTCTCTGGCTGCCCTTAAAATTTTTTCCTTCATTTCAACTTTGGTGAATCTGACAATTATGTGTCTTGGAGTTGCTCTTCTCAAGGAGTATCTTTGTGACATTCTCTGTATTTCTGAATTTGAATGTTGGCCTGCCTTGCTAGGTTGGGGAAGTTCTCCTGGATAATATCCTGCAGAGTGTTTTCTCACTTGGTTCCATTCTCCCCATGGCTTTCAGGTACACCAATCAGACGTAGATTTGGTGTTTTCACATAGTACCATATTTCTTGGAGGCTTTGTTCATTTCTTTTTATTATTTTTTCTCTAAACTTCTCTTCTTACTTCATTTCATTCATGTGATCTTCTGTCACTTCTGCCCTTTCTTCCAGTTGATCGAATTGGGTACTGAAGCTTGTGGATTCATCATGTAGTTCTCGTGCCATGGTTTTCAGCTCCATCAGGTCAATCTATGTAGAGAATTTAAGGACTTACTTACACTGGTTATTCTAGTTAGGCATTCGCCTAATCTTTTTTCAAGGTTTTTACCTTATTTGTGATGGGTTTGAGCTTCCTCCTTTAGCTTGGAGAATTTTGATCATCTGATGCTGTCTTCTCTCAACTCGTCAAAGTCATTCTCTCTCCAGCTTTGTTCCATTGCTGGTGAGAAGCTGCATTCCTTTGTAGGGGGGGAGATGCTCTGAATTTTAGAATTTTCAGCTTTTCTGCTGTGTTTTTTCCCCATCTTTGCGGTTTATCTACTTTTGGTCTTTGATGATGGTGATGTACAGATGGGGTTTTGGTGTGGATGTCTTTTCTGTTTGTTAGTTTTCCTTCCAACAGTCAGTACACTCAGCTGCAGGTCTGTTGGTGTTTGCTGGAGGTCCACTTCAGACCCTGTTTGTCTGGGTATCAGCAGGGGAGGCTGCAGAACAGCAAATATTGCTGAACAGCAATTATTGCTGCCTGATTGTTCCTCTGGAAGTTTCGTCTCAGAGGGGTACCTGATCATATGAAGTGTCAGTCAGCCGCTACTGGGGGGTGCCTCCCAATTAAGCTACTTGGGATTCAGGGACCCAGTTGAGGAGGGAGTCTGTCCATTCTCAGATCTCAAACTCCATGCTGGGAGAACCACTTCTTTCTTCAAAGCTGTCAGACAGGGACATTGAAGTCTGCAGAGGTTTCTGCTGCCTTTTGTTTGGCTATGCCCTGCCCCCAGAGGTGGAGTCTACAGGGGCAGGCAGGCTTCCTTGAGCTGCGGTGGGCTGCACCAAGTTTGAGTTTCCCAGTCACTTGTTTACCTACTTAAGCCTCAGCAATGGTGGGTGCCCCTCTCCCAGCCTCACTGCTGCCTTGCAGTTTGATCTCAGACTGCTGTGCTAGCTATGAGCAAGGTTGCGCGGGCTTGGAACCCTCCAAGACAGGCACTGGATAAAATCTCCAGGTGTGCCATTTGCTAAGACCATTGGAAAAGTGCAGTATTAGGGTGGGAGTGACCCGATTTTCCAGATGCTGTCTGTCACAGCTTTGCTTGGCTAGGAAAGGGAATTCCCTGACCCCTTTCACTTCCCGGGTGAGGCAATGCCTCACCCTGCTTTGGCTCATGCTTGGCGCACTGCACCCACTGTCCTCTACCCACTGTCTGACAAGCCCCAGTGAGATGAACCCTTTACCTCAGTTGGAAATGCAGAAATCACCCATCTTCTGTGTCGCTCATGCTGGGAGCTGTAGACTGGAGCTGTTCCTGTTCAGCCATCTTGGAACCGCTGCCCACATTATTTTTGTTTTGTTTTGTTTTGTTTTGAATTGGAGTCTCACTCTGTCACCCAGGCTGGAGTGCAGTGTCATGATCTCGGCTCACTGCAAGCTCCATCTCCTGGGTTCATGCCATTCTCCTGCCTCAGCCTCCCAAGTAGCTGGGACTACAGGCACCTGCCAACACGCCTGGCTAATTTTTTTTGTATTTTTAGTAGAGATGGTGTTTTACTGTTTTATCTAAGATGCTCTCAATCTCCTGACCTCGTGATCCACCCACCTCAGCCTCCCAAAGTGCTGGGAATACAGGCATGAGCCACCACACCTGGCCAAAGAAACATTATTATTGGAATAATATAGTTCATAGGTTTTAATGATAAACTTGGGGGATGTGTTAGTCGTCTTCAGATTGAGATGAGTAGAACACATACATGGAAACAAAAACTGAAGAAGTTTGAAGTGAGACAGAAATGTATATCTTCTTTACATCAAAGAATTCTGGATGTAGGTAGTTCAATATGGAGGGAATAATTCCCTGCTCACGAAGGACCCAAACTCTCCGTATCTTTACACTCTACAATACTATTATATGTCTTCAATTCTTAACATTGCTTCATGTTCCAAAATGGCTGCTGAATCTACAGCCTTTATGTCTGCTTTGCAGGTAGGAAGAAGAGGGAAAAACAAAAGGAAACACCTCTTAGCTGAGTCAGCATTACTTGTAGAACCTTCCTAGAAGAAAAACCCTAATAGCTAGATACATGGAGCATGGGAAATACAGTCTTTTACCTAGACAACCTAACCAAAATATTGGTGGGAATTACATCCTAACCAAAATGTTGGTTCAGGAATATGGCTATTAATTAAGCAGCTTCAGTGTCTGTCAAAGGAGTAAAGTAGTATTTTTATGAAGCCAGAGAGGAGACACTTTGAAGTCTGTTGGCCTCTTTCAATCATTTTTTCCTTACATAGTTTCTTAATGCAAATACTTATTTGGTTCTTTTTATTTTATGACAAAATCATCCTATGAACAAGTAATATGTCGTGCAAGATGACATATTGCTGGCTTCTGATAAAATGGTAGTGCTACCCTCAACATGGTTAGTGAGATTGAATGGACACTGGGAAGGCTCATCAGACGAAAACCATTCAATGTATTGCCTAAAGTGTCCATCATAAAAGTTATTGCTTCTGCATCAAGATGATGTGCTTTTAAAAAAACTCACTTAAAGTGAGTATGTGTTAACCATTATGCCATTCAATTCCATTAATCCATTTCTCTGTATTAGTTTATCAAATATCATCATGGAAAATATAGTGCAAGGCTCCGAGGGAATAGAAACGGGTTAGGTACATTTCCAAGAGGTAGATGTGAGAGAAGTTGAAGGCAGGGTGTGAACACGAGGGTGAATTTAGGAGAATCCACCTAGCGAGACAGAGTATTTAATAATAATTTCATTTCTTAAGAAGTGAATGAATGAAATAAAAATACACGCACAGAATAACTTCCCAATAACCTTTCTGGTCGACTATCAGATAAATGTATGAAGAGACAGACGAATGTATGAATAAATCCTCAAAGGTGAATTTTATCAATGAGGATTCTTTGATTTCTTCATGCCTCTATCCTTGCTGGTATGTGAGCTTCCTATAGCCATCATTGAGAATTGTTGATTATGCTAAATATTAGAGTAAAAATTACAAAAAGGACACTCAGAACCATACATCACATCCCAAACTCAGGGATGGAAGCACCAATGAGGCTGGCCAGAGAAGTAGCCATTGGGTTATTACTATCAGCTTTAACATGTACTTCTTTCATCCAGCACCGAGACAGAGAGACACTCAAATTATAAACACTGAGCATAAGACTAACAGACAAAGACTTTCCTCTCTTGACTATGATCAAATGGGTGTATTCAACTTAACTATGCACTATATCATAACTTTGAGTAGGACTTCCTTTTCTGGTCTGGAGGCTGCTTGGAATAATAATTAAACACGTAAGTTATGGTTTCAGGAAAATTTGAATTCAAATGCTGCATCTCCATTTACTAGTTGCACAGCCTTGAGCAAGTTACTTAACTGTTTCACATCTAAGCTTCCCCATCTTTAAAGTGGGGGGAATGCTATTGCCTACCTTGTAAGTAATTGTGAGGATTAGTTGAGGACTCAGTGATATCAGCCACAGTTATTAGTCATTATGTGCAGGGATCATGAGCGACTGTATAAGCCAGAGTTCTTCTGAGAAACAGAAGCATTAGGAGACATATATGAGAGAGAGATTTATTTCAGGGAATTAGCTTATGCAACCGTGGGAGCTAACCAGTCTACATCTGTAGAGCAAGCTGGCAGGCTGGAAATTCAGTTGTGTTGGTGTTGCAACCTTGAGTTGGTAGGTTTGGAAACTGGGCAGGGTTTGTATGTTGCAGTCGTGAGTCAGAATTGCTGCTTTCTTGGGAAATCTCAGTCTTGGCTCTGGAAGCCTTCAACTGATTGAATGAGGCCTACCCACATTATGGACACAAATATGCTCTACTTAAAGTCAACTGATTTAAATGTTAATCACATCTAAAAATATTTTCATAGCAACATATAGACTGGTGTTTGATGAAACAACTAGGTGCCATAGCCTCACCAAGTTGACACATAAAATTAACTATCACAGGACAGAATAAATATGCCCATCCACACCCACATTCTTCGCACAGAAACAAGACATAAGAGTTGCAGATTGGAAAGTGCAACTATAACCTGTATGACAGATAAAGACTAAATGGAAGCTGTGGTTTGTATTTGCAGGATTCAACGGTTTCAGGTACTCCCACCCTCAACCCTCTGGCAGGTAGATTAACACAGCCAACCCAGGCAGTGGTGCCACATAAGACTTACAACATGGAGAAGCTGGCAAGAACTCACATTTCTGCTGATGAGTTAACATCTAAGAGGACAATAAGGAAGAGCTAGTTTTTTTTTCTGAAATTTTCCAACCAGATAATTCCCTCCTCCTTGCTAAGGTAGAGAAAGTGATGCTACAGGTGAAGCCCCACTGTTGCTGTCCAATGCACCCTTTCACAGAAAGGAACTATCATGAGCCAAGAAGAAACATTTCCCTCCGTATACTCCTCTCCTCACTACTGCCATTGTTTTTATCACCAGCAGGCTGTACTGTTTATATTTCTTGATGGGACCCTCAAAGACTTAGCCTCTGAAATTGAAACTCTGGAGGGTTCTGAGTCTTCTGAAACCTAAGGAAATTTTCCAAGACATATCGAGATAAGTAAAATCCTATATTCAACCAACGGCATATTTCCCCTATCCTAGAAATCACCCTCCTTCCCCTTCCCCCCAAAACTTCAGTTGGGAACCAGCTGGAGTTTATAGCACCAGGCTTAGTGTGGATCTCTTGACACCTCTGAAACAAGTTCCCCATCGCATGGGAAAACTGCTCTGTCCTTCCACACCAGTCCTTGGGCCTCTGCCAGCTTGAAGCTGAAGAAGCCTGACATCTCCTGGGTAGGGGGCAGCTGAGATCTCCTGGGGCCGGCTTGACTGTCCTTTTATTTTTATTTTATTTTTTTTTATGTTTCTACACTAGATATCTTTTTGTTTTTATTATACTTTAAGTTTTAGGGTACATGTGCACTCAGCCATCCCATTACTGGGTATATACCCAAAGGGCTATAAATCATTCTGCTATAAAGACACATGCACACATATGTTTATTGTGGCATTATTCACAATAGCAAAGACTTGGAACCAACCCAAATGTCCAACAATGATAGACTGGATTAAGAAAATGTGGCATATATACACCATGGAATACTATGCAGTCATAAAAAATGATGAGTTCATGTCCTTTGTAGGGACATGGATGAAATTGGACATCATCATTCTCAGTAAACTATCGCAAGAACAAAAAACCAAACACCACATATTCTCACTCATAGGTGGGAATTGAACAATGAGATCACATGGACACAGGAAGGGGAATATCACACTCTGGGGACTGTTGTGGGGTGGGGGGGGGAGGGATAGCATTGGGAGATATACCTAATGCTAGATGACCAGTTAGTGGGTGCAGCGCACCAGCATGGCACATGTATACATAAGTAATTGACTGTCCTTTTAAAGAGCACACCTTTCCCTCATCTGTAAAGAAGTCTGAGGGCAGAAACCAGATGTGCTGACCTTACCTCTCACCTCTCTCCCCCGGCCTGGAATCCATTGTTGATCACTTCCTATTCACTAGAAGCAGCTTGCCTGGGCAGGACTGGTGTTATACTCTGTTTCAGTCAGCACAGGAAAGTGCAAATTTCCCTGCAAAAGGCAGATGAAAACTTAAAGTGATCTTTGGCCAGCAGATTCCTTCAAAATGCAAATCCACTCAGCAGTGTAGGAACAGTATGGCACAGCCCCCAAGTGGGAGACTAGAAGGCAGGCTTTCACCACAGCTCTTTGTTCCAAAGCCAGCAGAAACTGGCTACACTTGGCATTTATCTTTTTGCACTAAAACACATTGGGGAAATTCCTGAATTAGTCCCTAAAATTCCCAGTGATTGGGGAAGCTTGAAGGAGTCTATTTGCACCCAGCCCTACCTGATTTGAAGAGCTGTATGGAACCAGGAACCAGGAAGAGAATGTGAGCTTTTGAGCCAGTACCCCAACTTACCAGCCCTGAAATCTTCAGCTAATTATTTTGTCTCTCTGAGAAACATATTAACCTCTCTAGGCCACATCTTGAGGGGACTCTGAAGCTGACATTTGGGAGCTAACATTTCCCCTGCTAGGAGAAGTTACACGTGTATTAGTCCATTTTCACATTGCTGATAAAGATATACCTGAGACGGGGAAGAAAAAGAGGTTTAATTGAACTTACAGTTCCACATGGCTGGGGAGGCCTCAGAATCATGGCAGGAAGTAAAAGACACTTCTTACATGGCGGCACCAAGAGACAATGAGGAAGAAGCAAAAGTGGAAACTCCTGATAAACCTATCAGATCTCATGAGACTTATTCACTATCATGAGATTAGCACAGGAAAGACCAGCCATCATGATTCAGTTACCTCCCCCTAGGTCCCTCCCACAAGACGTGAGAATTCTGGGAGATACAATTGAAGTTGAGATTTGAATGGGGACACAGTCAAACCGTATCACTCTGCCTCTGGCCCCTCTAAATCTCATGTCCTCACATTTAAAGAGTAATCATGCTTTCCCAACAGTCCCCCAAAGTCTTAACTCATTTCACCATTAACCCAAAAGTCCACAGTCCAAAGTCTCATCTAAGACAATGCAAGTCTCTTCCTCCTATGAGCCTGTAAAATCAAAAGCAAGCTAGTTACTTCCTAGATGCAATGGGGGTACAAGTATTGGGTAAATACAGCCATTCCAAATGAGAGAAAATTGCCAAAACAAAGAGGTTACAAGGCCCATGAAAGCACAAAATCAAGTGAGGTGGTCAAATTTTAAAGCTCCAAAATCATCATCTTTGACTCCGGATCTCACATCCAGGTCATGCTGACGCAAGAGGTGGGTTCCCATGTTCTTGAGCAGCTCTGCCCCTGTGGCTTTGCAGGATACAGCTTCCCTACTGGCTGCTTTCATAGTCTGGCCTTGAGCGTCTGTGGCTTTTCCAGGCGCACATTGCAAACTGTTAGTGGATCTACCATTCTGGTGTCTGGAGGACAGTGGCCCTCTTCTCACAGCTCCACTAGGCAGTGCCCCAGTAGGGACTCTGTGTGGGGGATCCAACCCCACATTTCCCTTCCACATTGCCCTAGCAGAGGTTCTCCATGAAGGCCCCGCCCCTACAGAAAACTTTTACCTGGGCATACAGGCATTTCCATACATCCTCTGAAATCTATGTGGAGGTTCCCAAACCTCAATTCTTGACTTCTGTGCACCCATAGGCTCAACACCATATGGAAGCTGCCAAGGCTTGGGGATTCCCCCCTCTGAAGCCACAACCCGAGATGTACACTGGCCCCTTTCAGCCATGGCTGGAGCAGCTGAGACACAGGGTACCAACTCCCTAGGCTGCACACAGCACGGGGATCCTGGGCTCGACCCACGAAGCCAGTTTTTCCTCGTGGGCCTCTGGACAGGTGATGGGAGCGGCTGCCATGAAGGTCTCTGACGTGGCTTGGAGACATTTTCCCCATGGTCTTGGGGATTAACATTAAGCTCCATGCTACTTATGCACATTTCTATAATTGGCTTGAACTTCTCCCCCCAAAAATGGATTTTTCTTTTCTGTCACATAGGCTGCAAATTTTTCAAGATTTTATGCTCTGCTTCCCTTATAAAACTGAATGCCTTTAAAAGAACCCAAGACACCTCTTGAATGCTTTGCTGTTTAGAAATTTCTTCTGCCAGATACCCTAAATCATCTTTCTCAAGTTCAAAGTTCCACAAATCCTTAGGGCAGGGGAAAAATGCCTCCAGTCCCTTTGCTGAAACATAACAAGTTTCACCTTTACTCCAGTTTCAAACAAGTTCCTCATCTCCATCTGAGGTCACCTCAGCCTGGATCTTATTGTCCATATCGCTATCAGCATTTTGGGCAAAGCCATTCAACAAACCTCTAGGAAGTTCCAAACTTCCCCACATTTTCCTGTCTTCTCCCGAGCCCTCCAAACTGTTCCAACCTCTGCCTGTTACCTAGTTCTAAAGTCACTTCCACATTTTTGGGTATCTTTTCAGCAACGCCACACCCTACTGGTACCAATTTACTGTAATAGTTCATTTTCACGCTGCTAACAAAAACATACCCAAGACTAGGAAGAAAAAGAGGTTTAATTGGACTTACAGTTCCACATGGCTGGGGAGGCCTCAGAATCATGGTGAGAGGTGAAAGACACTTCTTATAGGGTGGCAGCAAGAGAGAATGAGGAAGAAGCAAAAACAGAAACTCCTGATAAACCCATCAGATCTCATGAGACTTATTCACTATCACGAGAATAGCATGGGAAAGACCAGCCCCATGATTCAGTTACCACCTTCTAGTCTCTCCCACAACACATGAAAATTCTGGGAGATACACTTCAAGTTGAAATTTTTATGGGAACACAGCAAAACCATGTCAACATGGTATAGTGAAAAGAACTAGTTAGGTCTGATATAAATTGAAGATTCACCATGTGTCCACTTGACCTTAGACAATTGCTTAACCTCTCTGGGCCTCACTTTCCCCATCTATAAAAGGGGAACAAGTGGCCAGCCATGGTGGCTCATGCCTGTAATCCCAGCACTTTGGGAGGCTGAGGCGGGTGGATCACTTGAGGTCAGGAGTTCGAGACCAACCTGGCCAACATGGGGAAACCCTGTCTCTAGTGAAAATACAAAAAATTAGCCAGTCATGGGTGGCACGCACCTGTAGTCCCAGCTACTCAGCATGCTGAGGTAGGAGAATTGCTTGAACCTGGGAGGCAGAGGTTGCAGTGAGCCGAGATTATGCCACTGCACTCCAGCCTGGGCGACAAGTGAGACTCTGTCTCAAAAACCAAAAAAAAAAAAAAAAAAAAAAAAAAAAAAAAAAGATGGGGGAACAAATAAAACTATCTTGCAGAGTAGTGTCAGGAGAAATAAAATAATAAAGCTCTTGGTAGTCTTCCAAAAAGTGTTCTTGCTTGCCCTTTGGTGTTGTTCTTAAAGACTTTCATATTTGGAGAACTGAGATTCAAGTTTCAGGTACAGACAACCACCCCTTTCTGTATTTCTTGATTTTTTTTTTTCTTTTGGCCTCTAATATCTTCTATTTCGCTTATGCTTGTCTGGGATACTCACAAGAGGATCTGTGGCAATAGTAATCTCCTTGATTGCTTGATTCTCTATGGTCAATTTTTTCATTAGGTTCTTAGGGAAGGAGTTGAGTAGATAAGACAAAATGTTCCCCACATTTTTGCCTAAGCAGCTTGGCACTGATGAATACTGGCAGCAGCTCCCTGAACTGTGTTATAAATTTCTGACTGCTGCACAAATGTACCACGTGGGTCAAAGACAAGCAGATCTGCCAAATTCTCAGAATAGAGTTCATCCTCATTAGAAAACACCAGGAAGTCCTGTAGTCTGGACAACAGAGAGTCTTATACCTAAGAAGGTTATAAAGTAAAAACATTTTCAGACAGAAACATGCTCCAATAAAATGACGGTAATATTGGTTAGCAGAGTAGATGAGACTAATGAGATCACTGGGATTAATATCTTTATAAAAGGGACCCTAGAGAGCTTTTTAGACCTCTTTGGTCTAGAATTGTTAGTGGTATTTTTGAGTTTTTTAAAAAAGAAATGAAAGAATTTGTGTATCTGCATACTAATCCACGTGATATTTTTAAAATACTAGTATACCATATATATCAAGTGCTTAATTTTTGTGAAGTGCTTTTCATACAAAACCTCATTGAATCATCATAATGATTTTAAGGCACAGGCATAGTACTGTTCATTTTTAAGGTCAGTCAATTAAGGCACAGAGAAGTTCGATGACTTTCCCAAAGTCTTATAGCTACATGTGAACTCATTTTATAGCCACTACAATGTAGCACCCTCAAAAATAGCAACTACTACTGATAGAGATACAATATTGGACTTCATACCTACTCCCTGAATTCATTTAATATAATTATCTCTAAAAACTCAGAAGATGGTGCAATTGACTGAATGTCCTTTTCTCCTCCAGATTCATATGTTGAGACTCTAATCTCCATGAGATGGTATTAGGAGATGGAGCTTTTGGGAGGTGATGAGGTCATGAGGGTGGGAACTTCATGACTGAGATGAGTTCCCTTATAAAAGAGACCCCAGGGAGATTTTTGACCCTCTTTCTGAAATAGAGGAATACAATGAGAAGTTGGCAGTCTGTAACCCAGAAGAGGGCCCTTGCTAGAACTCAATCATGCTGGCACCCTGATCACAGGCTTCCAGCCTCCACAGCTGTGAGAAATTTCTGTCATCTATAGCTTAGAGTACTTAGTTTAGGCTACTATGCTAATAAAGACAGATGATATTAGTATGCTAAGTTATAGATGAGAGAACTGACACTCAAATATACAGAGCATTTTCCCAGTACCACACAGTGAGAAATCTGGGACTCGAATTCAGGCCAGATGGCAGGCTTCTATATCCACAGAACATCCTGAACTTCACATGGACTTTGCTGCTTCCATGTTCCTCAGACACAGAGTGCTTTTTTATCATAGATAAGGTGTTCACAGGTGACCCAAGGCAATCTCACATATGCAGGAATTACATCCCACCACTCAGTTTCCACAAGGCTGACAAAAGGAATCAGTAGTGCTCACTAAGTATTCATCAGCCTCTGCCTTCTGCACACACAATAGGATCACACCTCCAAGCCCTTAAGATTGGATGATGCTGTGTGACCGGTAGTGACCAATGAGCTATGAGCACATGCAACATGTGTCACTTTTGGGCTCGCCCATTTAATTGCCAATTTGACACCATCCAGAGCTCTTGCCCACAGCATTTGAGATGGCAGCTGCTCCATCAGTCTGGATACCTAAATGACTATCACAGCAATCCTGATAGGTATGTTTTATGAGCAAGAATTAAATGTCTTTTTTTTAAGCCATTGTAATTTGGGGACTGTATCCGTCTGTTCTCACACTGCTATAAAGAGACACCTGAGACTGGGTAGTTTATAAAGGAAAGAGGTATAATTGACTCAGAGTTCTGTATGGCTGGAGAGGCCTCAGGAAACTAACAGTCATGGCAGAAGGTGAAGGGGAAGCAAGGACCTTCTTCACATGGTGGCAGGAGAGAGAAGAGCCAGCAAGAGCAGGGAAAATTGCCTTATAAAACTATCAGATCTCATGATAACTCATTATCATGAGAACAGCATGGGGGAAAGTGCCCCCATGATCCAATCAACCCCCTCCCACGACGTGGGGATTACAGTTCCCTCCCTCAACATGTGGGGATTACAATTCAAGATGAGATTTGGGTGGGGACACAGAGCCAGACAGTATCAAGGGTATTTTTAATATAAACTACAAACAAAACTAGCCTACCCTGACTGACACAGAACCAGACCCAAAGGAGTTTTGTAAACCTCCCAAGAGACCCAGCAGGTGTTAGAACTCTCTACACTCAGAATCATAAACTCAAGTGTTACAGGGATCAGGCGAGGCAGGTAACTAAGGAAAGCAGCTGAGCACATGATAGCAGAAAGTGGGAGGGACTAGGTCAAACTGGTGAGCACATGCCAAGGAAATGTGGGATCCGTGTTGCTAAATCTTGCAATTTTTCAGAAGAATGTGGATATTTGTGTGACTTTTCCTAATGGATAAAAAACTATGCAGATCAAACAAAACTGAACTGCAGGTTAATTTCATGCTAGGGTTTTCAATTTATAGCCCCTGACCCTGTGCCTCAAGCAGGCTCCCATCTATTAGCCATAATTCAAAGATTTAGAGCCAGTCCTGTCAGTTACTTGCTGTGGGACACTGTGGAAGTCAGCCTGGTCCTTAGTACTCCCATCTGTAAAATGAGTCCGTGGGAGAAAACAGATGGTTCTTTATCTTTCTCGGATACTTCTGCACAATAAAATCTCATATACACACAAACATGCCATCTTATTTACATATTTCATGATGTCCAATGATGCCAAAAACCTCAACCCCTGACTACCCCTCTCCACAAGAGATCCATGAAATCAAGTCTAAGAAATATGGGCTATATAATGCCAAAGTTTTCATCCATCTGAAAATATCATTTTACCAATGTCAGTTTATCAAGAGGAATGGGATATTTTTCTCCCTGCTGGAGATTCTTAGCATGTGTTATACTAGAAGAACCCACGGCTCTGATGTTATAGTTGCTTGTGTTCCACATAAAAAGGTGGGGCTGCAGGTTTTGTCATGATGTTTAAATGGGATGGCACCTCCCACCCTGGTACACTATTGTGCATCTAATCAGAGGGAGACCTAATATGTGAGTAGATATGTTGGTTATATTCCTCTGGCTTATGAATTTCTAGGTTCCAATTTAATTCCAATGTTTCTAATTTAGTTATATTTGGCCTCCTTCAGCTCTGTAATTCAAACCAAATGTATTGCTACTTTTAAAAATAATCTTTCTAAACTCACATCCAAACTGCCTCCCTTTTAGTGAAGATGATGAGTGGTTTTCATAGAAAGTCTTTAGAATAAATCTTCTGTGGTCACGTTCTCAGCTTCAGTCTATAACCCTTAAAAATACATCCAGATAGGCCTCCAGAGGAAGCAATTGTAATATTTGTGGGGCCAAGATCATGAAATCACCCAAGTGAGCATCAAATAAATGAAGCAAAGTTCTATTCCAGCTGGACTCTGATTTTTCTCCCACTTTGATACCATATGCTGTTAATACTTTCATCAATAGCATGTTTTACAGCCTGTCTTTAATAAAGAGGGTTCCCACTGCATTTATCAGGATCCTGAGTATATGAAACTGGTCCCTGGGAACTCCTTGATGTGTTTGGAATGAGATTGAAATTTTTATTAAACAATCACTCAGTGGTAATATAATTTATCATAAAGGGCAACCCTAACAGGAAATCTTTATATGTAGCAAAGAGGTCTTAATTTGAAACAAACAATAAAGCGCAGAATTCAATTATGTCAGGAAACAGGTCCAAGGTCATAGGATGAATGAGTCATAACCAAAACTTTAAAACTAGAAAGGTAAAACTAAATGGCATTTAAAACCTGTGCTACATTAATTTAAGGTAGCTACCGCAAGATGCAGTCATACCCAAAGGTACATAGAAATTTCTGGAGATAATCTGATTCTTTTTGGCTGTCTGGCCAACTTCATGCAATCCTCCTGTCAAGAATAATTACTGTATAGTTCCAAATAGCTAAGAAAAAAATAATTTTGAATGTTCTCGACAAACAAAAAATAAATATTTGAGCTAAAGAATATGCTAATTAGGCTACTTTCTTCATTCCACAACATACACATGTATCGAAACATCACATTGTGACCCATAAACGTATATAACTGTTATTTTTCTATTAAAAATAATACTTTCAAAGGAAAACTAATCTGGGCTGTCTCTTTGCCCATATTCTTGAAATGTGTGTTCAAGTCAACAAATATGTAATGGGCTAATCATCCTTTTTTTTTGCAAGGTACCTTACAAAGCCCTGAAGGGACCACCAAATAAAAAGACTCCTAATTCAAGGCAATAGTTTCCTAAAGTGGATGTGTAGGCTAGTGACATCTGAGTCATCTTGAGTACCCTAAAAATACATATTCCTGGGCCCGATTCCAAGCCAACAAAATCAGAATCAGTAATGGTAGGATCAAGAACCTGCATTTAAAACATATTCATCAGATGAAACTAACACAGTATAGGTTTGGTCCTACATATGCAAGAACTTCTCCATTATAGGTGACAGATATCTAATCCCAGCTGGCTTAAACCAAAAAAGGAATCCATCAACCTTAGTAACTGAGAAGCTCAACGAGGAGAATAGGCTTCAGGCACAGCTGGATCCAAAGGCTCAAACAATGACTTCAGAGATTGATTAGCTTCCTTACCTGTCAACTCTGCTTTCTTCTGCATTGGCTTTATTCTTATGCACCACAGAAAGTACAATCATATCAATAATAGAATTCTTACTATGTTTGAGGCACCACACTTTACCTGTATTGTCACATTTAGTTTTTATGAAGATAATATGAGGTAGGAAGTATTATTTCCACTTCAGAAATAATGAAGCAAGCTTAGAGGGGCAACATGATTTATCCAAAGTCACACCATGACCAAAAGAGATGGAAAGAATTGTATCCAAGGCCGATTGGTTGTAGCTCCCACTCTCTTGCCCGTACTTATGTACTCAGAGGTAAAGTAGGCCAAGGATACATAAAATGCTAAAAGAAAAATGAATGTTAGAAGGCAAAAGAAGGGCAAGAGAGTATAATTCAGAGGGAAATCCTTATTTGTGCTTATAGAATGTCCCATATGATCTTTCTGTAAGGCTATAATAGGCCCAGGAATCTGTACTTTGAATGTTTCTTCAGTTGGTCTAACTCACACAAGAACGGTGATTCATCATAGCTCAAGGAGATGTGCTGAAGTGTTTGCATCCATATACAGCGTGCACAGGACTATTGCTGAATTTCATTTTGGTAAAGAAGGTGTGGGGGTATCATCAGCAAAGGGGCAGAGAAAATTGTTCCAGGGCTGCTGGAGGCAGAAGGCTAACAAAATCTTTGTAGTTTCTGGCTGATAGGGGCTGATAAGACAGACTGGTGTTATCACTATAGAGGGGGTAAAGGGAAGACGAATGTAACACACAGAAGCAAGATTTAATAATTAAAAGCATATAAAGCATGAAGACAGCTGTTTATACAAAGCAAATATTAAAAATGGTTATAGGGGGTTGGGTGTGGTGGTTTACACCGTTAATCTCAGCACTTTGGGAGGCTGAGGTGGGCAGATCACCTGAGGTCAGGAGTTCGAGACCAGCCTGGCCAACGTGGTGAAACCCCATCTCTACTAAAAATACAAAAAGTAGCTGGGCGTGGTGGCACATGCTTGTAATCCTAGCTACTCAAGAGGCTGAGGCAGGAGAATTGCTTGAACCTGGGAGGCAGAGGTTGCAGTAAACCAAGATCACACCACTGTACTCCAGCTTGGGCAACAGAGTGAGACTCCAGCTCAAAAAGAAAAAAAGTAGTTTTAGGGGCCAATGAGTTCCAGATTATTTCTAACTCGGCCTGTCATAAGAAACTGTGGTGGACTATGGACCCCATAACCCATGACATCTGGCGTTCCAACTTTGGATTACTCTGAAATTGGACATATGATTTGATTTCATCATGAGACACATCAAATGAGCAGAGACTTGATAAGCACTTGTATATTAAGGAATGTCCTTTTGGAACTCTCCCTCTTGCAGTGTTAACTTGAGACTGCCATGCTGTTAGGAAGTTCAAGTTCACCACATGGAGATGAAATAAGATATCGTGATAAACATCCCCAGCTGATCCCAGCCTCCAGTGATCCGTCAACTACATATATGATCCTAAGTCACATGTGTGACCCCGAGCAAGATCAGCAGAACAATCACTCAGCCAACCCACAGAACCCTGAAAAAATATAAATCATTATAGTTTAAACCACAAGTTTTGGGTAGCTTGTTATGCTGCTATTGATAATTAAAACAAACTGGAATATTTTCATCTAGATGGCAATCTACTCAATTGTTGAATCCTTTGTGTTTCCCTCTTTGCCCTGGTTGGTAAGAATCTCAGAGCTAAGTTGCGTGTTCATTGCTGTGTCTTTCTTCAACCAGGAATTCTCATCACAGTTGTTCCATTTCTCTTTCAGATTTTTGTCTTTTATATTAATTGGTTTGGGTCTTACTATACCTCTGGTTTTCTTTTAAACTGACTAAAATTATTTGGAAAGTAGCCAGGTTACCTGTAAAATAATAAATGAAGGTTTGCAGTGGATGAGTAAAAGAATAATGACTGCTAAAAGGAAAATAATAGTAATTATTAATATGTGACTACAACAAAATATTAATATATTTTTAAGCCAGGCTCTATTGTAAAATATTTTCATGCATCCTATTATTTAATTCATGCAGCAATTATGAACAAGTACTGCTATCCCCCATTTTACAGGTAAAGAAACTGAGGTACAAAGTTGTTGTGGCTTGCCCCAAAGTCTCATAGCTAGTCGGTGGCAGTGCCAGGGTACAATTCAGGTCTGCCCAATGTCAGAGCCCACATTCATGACCATTATGGAACATTTCTTCACAAGGCTTTTCTGTTGTGTTTAGCCTATTTTGCTGTTGTACCACAATTTACAAGACTCATGATTTGGCTCTCTGTTTGTCTGTTATTGGTGTATAAGAATGCTTGTGATTTTTGTACATTGATTTTGTATCCTGAGAATTTGCTGACGTTGCTTATCAGCTTAAGGAGATTTTGGGCTGAGACAATGGGGTTTTCTAGATACACAATCATGTCATGTGCAAATAGGGACAATTTGACTTCCTCTTTTCCTAATTGAATAGCCTTTATTTCCTTCTCCTGCCTAATTGCCCTGGCCAGAACTTCCAACACTATGTTGAATAGGAGTGGTGAAAAAAAAAAAAAAAAAAAAAGACAAGGAATTATCTCCTGTTAACTTTTAAGTATAAAACTTGTCATCGGGTTATTTAGTCTTGTAAAGAAAAGATTCAAAAGTCGGAAATGGAGCAGCTGTTCCTGAATCAGGCAAACATAGCATTCAAAGAAAATTAATTTTCTCCACTTTCATAAAAGAAATGCAAGCCCTAGTTTCTGATGCCACAATCATTGCAGTTAAGAAAGCCATTTTAATAACCTCATTTTGTCCTTTGATAGATGGATATTCTTTCAAATGTGTATTCTCAGAGAAACTAGTCCTTTTGCAAGACTGTCTAAATGCTCTGAAAAAAGTAAACTACTCTCTAAATAAAGGGCGTTATTGTTTGCATGTGATCCTCAAACTGTACAACCAACATATTGAATTTAGCTTTTATGCTTTTATTATTAAATGAGTACAAATTGGAAAGCAAGAGTACTGATTCTAATGATCAAGTGTGTTGAAAATTAATGAAAACCGTAAGTTTGAAAGAAGTTATTAGGCATGCCTAATGCGAACTACTTTTAACCCCAGAAGGATTAATTTTACTCTTAGGTGGTCAATTAAGAAGGAAAGGAACAAAATTTTAAAATGTGTGTTATGGAGCTAGGTCGTTGCATTTTGTATCAAAAAGGTAAAATATAAATCAGAAATTTACAATTTTTAGTTTTTACTTTATGAACAGGAAGTTGGGAATTGCAGCATTCTTTTACTTTATGTCTAACACAAAAATTTGACAGCCTTAATGAGATTCAAAATTACATTTGTCAATTTCAATGTAAGTTCAGCCCTGAACTGTTATTTCATTAAAGTTAAATATGCCTTTTTGAGGGATATCTGCCATAGGATGGTCACTTTTCCAGTGTCTTTTATGTATATCCTGCCCAAAAGCAGGATGCTGGCCAGGTTGACCTCATGAGACTCACTCTGCCTGAAAGATTCCACTCTCCAATCAGTGAGACTGGCTTTCCATTCCCCAAAGTTAATTTGAACTTGAACAGTCCAGAAAAGTGAGGCGTTTCTCTGCCCTGATTTGTTCCTAATAACTATGTTCTCACAGGGCTAGGGCCCCTGCCAATCAGCAACCCCCATTCTGCCCCACACAAGTGCAGATACGAATCTGGCCCTACCTCTCTGGCTTTGTGTAGGCTGCAAGTGAGAGCTTTCACTGCACGAGGACAAAGCTTTCTGTTTCCTTTCAAATTGTCAATGACAAACACGCTGACAAAAATATTTTGGTACAGTTCTTTTAAATGTTCACTCTTAATGTAGTGTGGTAAGCTAATGTTTGCTAAAATAAACAAAGTGCTAAGAAAATTCTATCACTAGCAAAGCCATCACTCTATAGTTAATAATTCATGACTTGACCACCTCATAAATAATTGTTAGCCTTCTAATCTGAATGTGTGAATGGTGTGAAACAGGCCTTTCCCAAATCCCCCTTCGATATTTTGTCATCCCTGCTTGTGTGTTTTCTCCTCAGTATCATTAAATTTCAATCACCATGGATAGGGGGACAAAGTTCTGTTTACAAATTATTTCTTCTTCCCAAGGATAAGATAGTTCATGTAGGGAAAAGAAAGAGAAATCAGACTGTTACTGTGTCTATATAGAAAGGAAAGACATAGGAAAATCCATTTGGATAAAGACCTGTACTTTGAACAATTGCTTTGCTGAGATGTTGTTAATTTGTAGCTTTGCCCCAACCACTTTGCCCCAGCCACTTTGACCCAACCTGGAGCTCACAAAAACATGTGTTGTATAAAATCAAGGTTTAAGGGATGTAGGACTGTGCAGGACGTGCCTTGTTAACAAAATATTTACAAGCAGTATACTTGGTAAAAGTCATCGCTATTCTCTAGTCTCAATAAACCAAGGGCAAAATGCACTGCGGAAAGCCACAGGGACCCCTGCCCTTGAAAGCGGGGTATTGTCCAAGGTTTCTCCCCATGTGATAGTCTGAAATATGGCCTTGTGGGATGAGAAAGACCTGACCACCCCCCAGCCTGACACCCATAAATGGTCTGTGCTGAGGTAGTTTAGTAAAAGAGGAGCCTCTTGCAGTTGAGATAGAGGAAGGCCACTGTCGCCTGCCTGCCCCTGGGAACTGAATATCTCAGCATAAAACCCAATTGTACATTTGTTCAATTCTGAGAGGAGAAAAACCACCCTGTGTTGGGAGGTGAGACATGTTTGTGGCAATGCTGCCTTGCTATTCTTTACTCCACTGAGATGTTTGGGTGGAGAGAAACATAAATCTGGCCTACGTGCACATCCAGGCATAGTACCTTCCCTTGAACTTAATTATGACATAGATTCTTTTGCTCACATGTTTTTTGCTGACCTTCTCCTTATTATCACCCTGCTCTCCTACTACATTCATTTTTGCTGAAATAATGAAAATAATAATCAATAAAAACTGAGGGAGCTCAGAGGCCAGTGCCAGTGCAGGTCCTTGGTGTGCTGAGTGCTGGTCCCTTGGGCCCACTGTTCTTTCTATATACTTTGTCTCTGTGTCTTATTTCTTTTCTCAGTCTCTTGTCTCACCTGACTAGAAATACCCACAAGTGTGTAGGGGCAGGCCACCCCTTCAGTTCAAAGGAAGAGAAATATCACCCTGTCCTTATTTTTTTAAAGTAAGCTCCACTAGTCCCCATGCTGAAGAGAGCAATTTCTTATATTGGTGAAGAACAAATGCAGGAAAAGTTCAGTAATTCTCCAAGGTTGTTGACAGCTTTTGCTCCCATCCTAGAATTCAAACCACAACAAAGAACCACTCCAAAGTTACCAAACTAAAGAGTTCTCAAATTTTAGTTAATAAGGTTTCTGCCTATCCCAAGTCCACCGGGTACCAGAAAATGTTTCTGTAAATGAAAAAAATAACATTTTAAATATATATTCTTCTCCATGCCCCCTAAACTATTATTTACTTTCAACTAAGAGAGAAGAAAAGAGAAAACAAAGATAGACCCCCCCCAGACTTGATCATTTTTCTACATAGATTTGGGAACTGGTAGCTGAATACAGAACAAGATAATTTGTGAAAATTTTGCAGTATAAGTAAAGTCATTGACTAGTCAGTATCTTTTTCTTCTAAAATTATAGCTATTGTTTTCAGGGTAAAGGGCTCAGAAGTGGGTAATGAACTTCTAAAACTGCTATTTGGTGTGACTTGGCTAAACTGTAAAGCTGAGAAAAAAAAAAAATCCATGCAAGCAGGTGCTACTGAAATGAATGCCATAAATGTGAGAGCTTTAAATCATAATGGCAAGAGTAATTAAACAGAAAGGTGACCAACAAACTTAGAAAAGGGCCAGGGATACGATATAAATAATTTGTTTCAGCTGCTAGCTTGCTCTTAGAAGTGATGTGGCATGTGCTATTTTTATCTCCAAAGGGAGAGCTTTTTTTCATCCTGTAATTTTTTTTATCCAAATTGAGTATGAGAGCTTTGAGGTGAAAGGAAAATAAAAACTTGCCAATGACTCTCACAGCTCGATTTTCCTTGTACAGCCACTTCAAATTGGAGGTGTTTCATCTAACCCATCAGGGGCTGCGGGCAAATTTAGAAGTCTAAAATCCAACCATTTTTCTGGAACTAAAAAGCAAAGATACTATTGTTGAGCCACTCTTAGGGGAACAGACATTTTGAATTGGTTGGAAATACAACATAGACATACTTATGTTTGTTGAATCCTCTTTCTTCTCCTACCCCAATCCAGAATCCCCCAGAACCCTTCCACACACACCCTCATTTCCACCCCCAAACCCCACCACCCCTGCTGCAGACTCAGAAAATTGCAGCTGCTACAATGGGTCTCTAGTCACATAGAGAAAGCCATGAAGAAAAATGAAAGGATGTAGCTTTAAATCCCAGTTCTGCCTCCTCTTAGCTCTATAACATTGGAAGAGTCACTTTTTGAGCCTTGGTTTGTTGTTTGGAAAATGAGGAAGCCATAATTTCTAACTTTTGGAGGTGTTGTGAGGATTCAGTCACATGATCCACAGAAAGCTCCTGACATGGGCCTATTAGGTATGAGGAATTTCAGGTTGACTACTGATCCTAGTTCCCATCTCCCCTCATTTCCTAACTCCATTTTTGCCATCCCCAGCAACGCTGAAGTAGAGTTAAGGGAGAGTGTAGAAGAAAAGAAAAGAGAGGAAACAGGAGGGCAGAGCAAGGACACAGGCCCTGGAGCAGTCACCGTTCTTCTCCCTTCTTTTCACCCTCATGTTAACAATAGCAAACAGTAACCACAGCATTAGTGGTAGTTAACACTTTTTGAGCACTTAGTGCATTCCTGACACCACATGCAGTATCTCATTTGATACTCACGAGAAATATTATTGTTTGTTCATCACAGATCACATTAGATTTTTTGCAGCCCTGCCTATTAATTATTCACACTGAGTCTCCCCTCAGTCTAAACCTTGAAGTCTCTTCACTTCTTATACTTGTACAGTTAGTGTTAAGCATGTCTTCTGTATTGTCATTCAAGTCATTCATAAAACAGATCTCTTTCTAAACACTGTCAGCTGGTCTTTGTCCTTGTAGGTGAGTCCTTTTGGATCGCCAGTGGAGTTTGGGGGACAAATTCTATAATATATTCCCACCATTTGTAGCAATTGTCTGGGAACACCAGCTGGTCCACCTCAAGGTTCTGGAGACCTTGAGGCCAAATGGGACTTACAGTTACTCCTTGACAGAAGGGATACCCCAACTCCATTAGAAACCATATGCAGGTGCATCCCCTCCCAATGAGGGTTGAGAGGTCCTCCTCGGGTCCACCTGGTCCTTGCCTGGTCAGCCCAGACTGAGCTCTCACAGCCACATTTAGACAATTATCTAATCTTAAATACTTAAACAAGTTGAATTTCTAATGGTTTTCCTTAGCCCCTTAGAAAGAACTTATTTCTGCTTTCTTCCTTTCCTCCTACCATCACCTGCCTCTCTCTGTCTCTCTCTGTCTCCCCACCCCCTCTCTCTCTCTCTCTCTCTCTCTCTCACACACACACACACGTGCGCGTGCACGCGCTGTCCCTGTGCCTCTCTCACATCTCCATAATAGAGTCGCCTGCTCTGTGTCTCCCTTGGTTTTCCTTCATAAGGGTCTCTCTCTGCTTCTCAGGGATGACAGTGTAAAACCTGCCTCAGCTCTCCCTTTTAAGAAGACTCAGCCAGCTTTCCTTCTCCTTGTTTCCCTCTCTTGCTTTTTCTTTGAACACTCTCTCATCCCTGTGGCTGGTGTAGTTTCCAAACTCCAGACAGATACTAATATTAGGGATTTGGAAATAAGATCAAAATTCTCCAGAATACCCTAAATCATAAATTGTGATTAAAATACTTCCCATATTCCTCATGTACTAGTTCATTAGGAAGATCAAAAAATTGTTCAATAGGTAAGATACATTGGTTTAGTAAGACTATTTACAAAGAATGTAGTCTAGATTGAATATATAAGTACTAGAAAAGTTGAATATTATTGAGTGGCTTTTAAATGATGTAACATTCTAATCTTTTAAGATTAACAGCTCTACACAGAACCATGTGTAGAGATCAATTGAATAACTTATTTTGTTTTCAAAACTTTTTATTTCTTGGAACACCACCCATAGGTTTAGTAGAGAGGATAAAGGATAACATGTGAAGAACCTTAACATTCACTTTAATTGTAAAAATTTACCATTAGTGACAGACAGCATCATGAACGTGCATTTATTACATGGCTACAGCTATGAGCAAAAGTGGTGAGACAGTGATTGTTTCTCCTCTTCTTGCCCCTTTCCCAGTTACTTGAAATGTTGACTTCGACCTTCAACTCTGCATGTCAGCTTTTCCTGCTCTTGCTTTCTTCTTGACGTTACTGCATTCCTTTCAGAAGTAATGTCTCTAAGTTGAATGTTAATCTTTTATTCTCACAAGAGAATTGCAATACTTCCCCCTCTCCATTTTTCTGATTTCTAAAACCCATTTTTCTCAGGATATGGGACTCAGAAAAAAATATACAATTTTCCCAAGAAATGCCAGAAGGGAACCCTCCCATGGAAACTGTTATGATGATGAATATCTATTGTTTTGGCCTAACCAAGAATAATTTCCCCTTCTTTTAGAAGGAGCACTGTGGTTTTTGTTTGTGGAACTTCCCTTTCCCACTCTGTGTGGCTGATAACCTTGGTGCCCCACTTCCGCAAGTAGCAAACAGATCTACCACATCCTTTCTGATGGTTTCATCCCAGTCCATTGACTATGTGTACTATGGCATAGTTACCTGGTCCCTTATTCAGACATGATTCGAGACATTTAGCAGCTATTAGTTGTGGGTATGGAGCTCCAGCTAAGATGTAAAGACAAGGTCAAAGGTACTAGATGCTGAGTCTTCTCATTGGCAAAAAAAGACAAGAAGACAAGATTCTAAAAGTTTCATTGGTTGCTGCTCTGCCCAAATTCCCAGATGTTTGTGGCATTCCAATAAATTGTTCACTTTGCTTGTTAGCAAGTTATTTTGTTTGAACCAGGAAAACCTAACTAATTCCAATGGCTAGGAAAATAGTCTCCAGAACTACTGGCTTGGCCAAGAAAGGTTTGATCAAATGTCCATACTATATCTGCTCAAGACATTAGGCTAATTTTCTCTCTTTCATTTGGACTTGAATCTTTTTGCTCCCTATATACATTTGGCCTAAAACAGATTTATCTTACTAACAGATTAGATATCCAGGATTTTGTTGTGAGACTTCACAGAGTGACTCAAAATGTCCGCCAACCACATAGCTTTGGTAATAGATCCTAGATTAATTTTTAGCTCAAGCAACAGGAAATTTCTCTTAGGCCTTAGGGCCTTACCATGCAGAAATATTTTTGTTGGTGCATATATTAGTCAGGATTGCCCAGAGAAACAGAATCAATAGGAGATGGATAGATACATGATTGATGGATTGAATGATAGAAAGGTAGATAAAAGAGATTATTATAAATCATTGGCTCATGCAATTATGGAGGCAGAGAAGCCCCACATTCTGCCACCTGAAAACTGGAGACCCAGGCAAGCTTTTGATGTACTTCCAAGGCCTGAGAGCAAGAGAGCCAATGGGGAGCCAATCATAATCCCGAAAGGCACAAGCCCCATCACTAGAATCCTGAATGTTGAAATCCCAAGAGATCAAAATCCCCAAAATGTACTTCTGGAGAAAATTAAAATTATCTAAAATATTTATTTACATTTTTAAAGGAGGATTTATCTAAGAAACATAAAAACATGAATGAATACTTCATAGGCCACTTTATGTGATAAAATAAGCAATAATATGCATATGTTTGCAAGTATAAACACTGAGATATGCTAACAACAGTCACATGGGTATAACAGTTATGAGCAGATGTACTGTATTCATAAAGAGGTCAAAAAGGGAAATGTATAAACACATATCACTATGGTTGGTAATTGTGTGCACCTAGCTTTATAACTGAGGTCATCTGAAATACCATGACCAACCACCTAAGTCTTTTGATGGGACCAATCAAAACCATCATTTACACCATACCCCAAAGAGCTAAGATCTTGAGAAATTCTATCTTTCACAATGTAGATGTACAGAAAAGATATCTCTTTATTTATTGAAGAAGTTTCAGTATTTTTATGTATATGCATAATGTTTAAACACAGTCCACATTGTGATAATGTACTTCATGGAATCAAATTTGAAAACGCATAAAAAGTATCAGAACTGTCTAAAAGTTTCTACACCATTTACACCTCCAGTATTGAAAATGATACAAAGATGAAATGCATAGTAAGTTGTAAAAATAGTACAATTTAAAATAGTAAAAAATATACTAAGAAAGAAAACTAAAACTAAAATTTGACATATGAAAAAGTGTATTATTACAAGGACAGATTGTGGGCAATTGCACAGAGACAATCCCTAAGAACTGGCGGACTTTCATGGTCATTAACTATATTTTGAAGTCTTTCATCACAATGAATATCTGCTTTTTTCTTTTAGGGCATGGCTCTCTTCAGATAATATGTTTACGTTCATTTCCTATGTGGCACTGCTCTTTTCAAAATTCTTCCATGATTCTATGTATACTGATATGAGCATTTCCTATTAAAGCTTTCTACCTTCTGTGCCATGCTTCTACGTTGTTTAGGGTTCACAGAAATCCATTTCACGTGCCCTCATAGACAGAACACAAGTTTGGCAGAAACAGTGCTGGTGATCGAACAGCAATGCCATTGTGAACATTACATCTTCTTATCCTACTGTGCACATAATAATTTTTGAACCAGTCAGTAAGCTTTACTGGCTTCTTCAAGCAAATTCAGCTTTAATTCATTAAAACCTCCTGAAATGTCATTAGTAGGAAGGTAAATGATGCATTTTTAAACTGAAGTTTTATTTGTTGCTGTATGCTGTGGCTAATCCACTCATTTGACTTTTCCACCAAATGCAAATAAAGACAATAAGAAGATAATAATTTTGCCTACATGATGTAACTATCCTGCATACAGCTTCCCAGAATTTGGCTTTCAGGATTTCAACATTTGGGATTTTAATCTTTTGGGATTGTGAATTTCACAATTTTAGACATTGGGAATTTTGATCTTTCAGGATTTAAACTTTTGGAATTTTGATCTTTTGGAATTTCACCATTCAGGATTATGGCATTTGGAATTGTGTCTTTCAGGATTATGATCCAAACGCAAGCCACTGATGTAAATTCCAGTCTAGAGCTGAACAGCTGAGACCTAGGAGTATCGAAGGCAGGAGAAGATAAATGTCACAATTCAGGAAGTTAGGCGGAGTTAATTCAAACTTCTACATTCTTGCTCTATTCAGGCCCTCAAAGGGTTAGATGATGCACACTCAACATTAGAGATGGCCATCTGCTTTATTAGTCCACCAGTTCAAATGCTATCTCTTCCAGAAACACCATCACAGACACTCCCAGATATTTTAACCAGGTATTTGGCCCCCTGGGGGCCAGAGAAGTTGACATATAAAATTAAGTATCACAGTGTGCATAGTATTTTTACTTTAAAATGTTGTGAAACTTAGCTTGTTAATTAAAAAGTCTGTGGATTCTACTTTTAAAAAATCTGGATTTCTATTTTCTTTTAAACAGGTAAAAATATCAAGAAATGCTGAGGCCCATGTCCCAGAACAACAGTCCTTTAGGTGGATCACACATTCTCCACTACACCAAGCTCTACTCAGTAAGTTTTGCTTCTTTGCACTTACCTGCCCAGCCCCTGTTGGTGACCAGGTTTGCAACATTTGCTCTGCGTGATCCAGTGGAGCAGAGAACTAGAGTTTGAAACTAAATCCTCATTTACATATACAATTTTCTTGTGCACCTAAAAGGATAATAGATGGCTGGTAAAGAATGGGATTCAAAAATTCAGTATTCTGGGTCCAGGTCAACTTCTAATTTTTCCTCAGATCCGTTAGGCATGTGATGCATGCTGTAGGTAGCTCCTCTCCACTAAATTACCCGAGCATCCATGGGTGGATACTTCTTCCTTCTTCCTTCTCCCATGGTGCTCTGTCACCCTCCAGTGTGTTTCTCACCTACCTAGGTAAGAATGGTTCACACTATGTATCCAAGTTCCTGTTCATGGTGAGGAGGAAAGAGAGAAAGTAAAGAGGAAACAAATTGTATTTAAGGAGGTGGCTCAGCAGGTCTGCCTGTCACTTCCACTCTTGCTCCATTGGTGAGAGCTTAGTCACAAAGCATCGCTTAGCTCCTGGGAAGCATTTCTAATATTTCTAATAGGCAGCCATGTGACCTGCCAAAAAGCAGTGAGGGGCTATCACTCAAAGGAGAAAAGAGCAAATGCAAACTGGAGAATAATTGCTGTTCCCTGCTTTAATGGTCCTTTAGGGGGAAAAAAGGGGAGACAGGCCTTTTTTTCTCAGCAAACCCTTGAACATATATACACACACACACACACGCACACACACGCACGCACACACACACACACACACACACACACACACACATAACCACCACAGCCAACAACATCTATCTATATGCCCTGAATATTCACCATTTTTTTTAAACCAAACTGCAACAAACAGTGAAATTATGAGGAAATTATTTTCTTATTAACTTCATTGGACAAGAAACTCTGGCTTTCAATGCCTCTTTACAGTTCTTCCTTTTATTTATTCACATAATGGGTAAGACTTCTAATTTAATCAGTATGAAAATTAGACGTTTCCTGAAATGTTTGGAGTTGAAGAAGTCCCTCCTCATTCAATGTTTATATTTAAAAAAGAACTGACCTTAAAAAAAACCCATAAAGCTCTAGTCTATAGATAAGTACCCATGTTTGTGTATTTAAATAGAGCCTGTCATATCCATTACATCCATCAGAAAAGATGAGAGAGAAAAGCATAGTCAGGCAGTGATCTTTAATTGTTTCTTCAAATCTTTGATTAGAATTGCCTAAAATCCTTTCTCACCCAATACCATACCTGCATACAACATTTATTTATTTATTTATTTATTTATTTATTTATTTATTTATGAATCCCTAGTTTTCAGGGAAACTCAGACAAACATATAAATATGAGTAAGCACTGTGATAAGTGCTGTGTATGGAATACTGTTGAATTAGGGTAAGGGAATGAATAATTAATTTGTCTGGGTGAACATTCCATTGTACCATAATTTATTTTTAATTAATTATTTATTTATTTATTTAGTTTATTATTATTATACTTTAAGTTTTAGGGTACATGTGCACAACGTGCAGGTTTGTTACATATGTATACATGTGCCATGTTGGTGTGCTGCACCCTTTAACTCGTCATTTAGCATTAGGTATATCTCCTAATGGTATCCCTCCCCTCTCCCCCAACCCCACAACAGTCCCCAGTGTGTGATGTTCCCCTTCCTGTGTCCATGTGTTCTCATTGTTCAATTCCCACCTATGACTGAGAACATGCGGTGTTTGGTATTTTGTCCTTGCGAGAGTTTGCTGGGAATGATGGTTTCCAGTTTCATCCATGTCCCTACAAAGGACATGAACTCATCATGTTTTATGGCTGTGTAGTATTCCATGGTGTATATGTGCCACATTTTCTTAATCCAGTCTATTGTTGTTGGACATTTGGGTTGGTTCCAAGTCTTTGCTGTTGTGAATAGTGCCACTATAAAAAATTAATTCAAGATGGATTAAAGGCTTACATGTTAGACCTAAAGCCATAAAAACCCTAGAAGAAAACCTAGGCAATACCATTCAGGACATAGGCATGGGAAAGGACTTCATGTCTAAAACACCAAAAGCAATGGCAACAAAAGCCAAAATTGACAAATGGGATCTAATTAAACTAAAGAGCTTCTGCACAGCAAAAGAAAATAGCATCAGAGTGAACAGGCAACCTACAGAATGGGAGAAAGTTTTTGCAACCTACTCATCTGACAAAGGGCTAATATCCAGGATCTACAATGAACTCAGATAAATTTACAAGAAAAAAACAAACAACCCCATCAAAAAGTGGGCAAAGGATATGAATAGACACTTCTCAAAAGAAGACATTTATGCAGCCAAGAAACACATAAAAAAACATTTATTTTTGAAAACATACAAGCTACCACCTATGATTTTTATTCCACTGGAAACTTTTAAGGAAATTTTACATTTAAAGCCAGTTTTTTTTTTTTGTTATACTTTAAGTTTTAGGGTATATGTGCACATTGTGCAGGTTAGTTACATATGTATACATGTGCCATGCTGGTGCGCTGCACCCACTAACTCGTCATCTAGCATTAGGTATATCTCCCAATGCTATCCCTCCCCCCCTCCCTCCACCCCACCACAGTCCCCAGAGTGTGATTTTCCCCTTCCTGTGTCCATGTGATCTCATTGTTCAATTCCCACCTATGAGTGAGAATATGCGGTGTTTGGTTTTTTGTTCTTGCGATAGTTTACTGAGAATGATGATTTCCAATTTCATCCATGTCCCTACAAAGGACAAGAACTCATCATTTTTTATGGCTGCATAGTATTCCATGGTGTATATGTGCCACATTTTCTTAATCCAGTCTATCATTGTTGGACATTTGGGTTGGTTCCAAGTCTTTGCTATTGTGAATAGTGCCGCAATAAACATACGTGTGCATGTGTCTTTATAGCAGCATGATTTATAGTCCTTTGGTTATATACCCAGTAATGGGATGGCTGGGTCAAATGGTATTTCTAGTTCTAGATCCCTGAGGAATCGCCACACTGACTTCCACAATGGTTGAACTAGTTTACAGTCCCACCAACAGTGTAAAAGTGTTCCTATTTCTCCACATCCTCTCCAGCACCTGTTGTTTCCTGACTTTAAAGCCAGTTTTTTAAGATGACTCAAAGAACATCTTTATTTCCTCTTCACAAGGAGCCATCGCATGCACACTATTTTCAAGCTTTGTGCGGGTCCCAGAAATCTCATTTTCAGAGCCACAGTGTATAATACAGAGTCACTGATGCTCTGGTTAAAGCAGGGGTTGTCAACCTGGAGCTCTGACCACTGAACATCTCTGTCACCTGACAAAGAAGTCCCTGCAACCTCTTTGAGGAGTCCCCTGACCCTCTGTGAGCATGTCTGAATCCATGCTGCATTGACTCTTTATTCCTGGATTGAGTAAAAGGGAGAAAACAATCAGGAAAACTTATAAATTTTCTATGTAACACCAATGCAACTTTCCATTCTGTTATTTCAATGTAATAGGAAGAAATCAACCAGATCAAGCTTTACACAGACAAAGCAATGATGTGCTAGGAGACGTGTGGAGTTTCGTGTTTCCACTGGACTTGCTAATCTCGTATAGTCACAGCCCTCTTCTGACCTGTATCTGGTTATATGTGAAGCAGAGGCTGTGTTGAGATGTAGTGAGATCATCATCTTTTATTAAATAAGAGGCTTTGGAAGCTTGGTTTCCCCATGTGCAGACAGGGCAATCCCAGTGCTTTCTTGGCCTGGGCATAGGACTCATTCCCTTGCTTGCTCACCCTTACCAGAGAGACATCTCTGTCCACCCTATTTAAATTGCACCCACCTTTCCTTCTGGCATCCTCTGTCTTTTTTATATAGTTATATATATCATATTTTTATGTTTATATATATAAACATTTTTGAGACAGGTTAGCTCTGCCACCCGGGCTGGAGTCCAGTGGTGTGATTACATTTCACTACAGCCACAACCTCTCTGGCTCAAGCAATCTTCCCAAGGCAGCCTCCTAAGTAGGTGGGACTATAGGTGTATGCTACCACATCCAGCTAATTTTTTAAAGTTTTTTGTAGAGACGGGGTCTCACTATGTTGCCCAGGCTGGTTTTGAACTCCTGGGTTCATGTGATCCTCCTGCCTCAACCTCCCAAAGTGCTGGGATTACAGATGTAAGCCTCCCTTTGACATTCTCTATCCTTATCCTGCTTCATTTTTCTCCATACGGCTTCTCATCACTTGATGCTGTATATATTTATTTGTTTATCATCTCTCTCTCATCAGAATTCAACATCATAAGAACAGAAACTTTATTTCATTTTGTTTGCTACTATCTCCCTGGAGCTGAGAAGACTTTCTGTCATGTAGTAAGTGGGCAATAAAGTAAGTTAGTTGTTGAGCGAACCATGAGATCATTGTGGAAAACCTGAGAATATGTATAAAATGTTCCACACGGTACATGGCACAAAGACCCTTGACACAAATTAGTTATTTTTGTTACTGTCATCACTTTTAGACAGATACTCTAAGAATGATGACTATGATCTCATCCAGGTCTTCATGGCTTAGTGGATCTCTTTAATACACTCCCTAAGTTACAACTGCGATTCCCAGAACAGTAAAAGGAAGTAGGTGTAGCATTCTACAATTCTGGAGTCAGCACATGAGGTAAGAAAAAAATCACATATATTATGAATTGTCATTGAAGGTTATTTAGGAAGACACTACATAAAAGTTCAATGTGCCATTTTTCTCTAAACCCAACCCAAACAGGTTTTCTTCCTTCATCATAAGAGTAATATGTTTAAACACCAGTGTTTTTCAAGAGGGTGAGATGCTCATACAGTAGGTGCTGAGATGAAATGTGAGGGGTGAAGAATCAAGTGTCTTCTAAGTCACTCTGGCTAAGTCACTTCATAGATGTGAAGATGGGCCAGCATTATCATCATTGCTTCATTTATGGGTTTATTCTGTCTTGGTCTTGGGCTCTCTCTCTTCTCCCTTCCACTCCACCTACTCCTTCTCTTTTTGCCAGGCATGCAGTTGAAATAGTCTGAGTTAAATGTGTGTGTTTATAGACTCAGAAGCAGTGTCATATAAGACTGTTTTGCTCAGATCATTTTCTGGTTGGAAGGACCTTTAGAAGACATCAGACCATTTTATTTTACACAAGATCCACAAGAAAAGTGGAGATAATTTGTCTAAGTCACACAGTGAGAGAGAGTTCCAGTGCTAGAAGCCAGTTCTGTGGCTCCCTAATCTGAGGAATTTTCTTCATCTTTCTCAGCTGCCTTCTAATGTGTCCCATGTAACACTGTCATTCCCCTTTCACTCTTTCCCCTTTCCAAACCATTCAACCATTCACCAAAGGGAGTGCTATGGCCTTTAGTTCTTCTCCACTTTGCTCAGGACCGAAGCATCCTCCAATGAAGGCAGCATCCTCTGCTTCTCCCTGTAACTTCTTCCGGCTCTTCCCCCTTCCTCACTGCCTCAGGAATCAGTTGTATTTCCACACAGCCTCCTGAAACTGACTCACTGCTCTGTAATCGGGCCAGTGCCTGCCTACTGCATCCTTTGGCAGCTGCTGTCATTCTTCGTGGGAGACATCATTCATGATGCCCCTGGCACATCATGACAAAACTCCAATGAGTCTATTATTTTCTTTTTGAGTCATGTTGAACAGGGGCAACTTCCTCACACAAAGATCAGGAAACACATCCAGACAGACAGCACTAATGGATAGTGCAGAGGACTTAGAAACTCCAACCATATAAACAAATCTGCATTTCTGAAATAATAAGCATTCACATATAATGCCAGATGTGTGGATTCATCTTACAGAGTTAAACCTTTCTTTTGATTCAGCTGATTGAAGACACTGTTTTTCTAGAATCTGCAAATGGACATTTGAAAGCCCTTTGAAACCTATGGGTAGAAACAGAGTATCCCTAGAAAAAACTAGAAAGTGGCTATGTGTGAAACTGCTTTGTGATATGTGGATTCATCTCACAGAATTAAACCTTTCTTTTGATTCAACAGGTTGGAAACACTCATTTTGTAGAATCTGCGAATTTACATGTGGGAGCCCATTGAGGCCTTTGGGGAAAATCTGAATATACACAAATAAAAACTAGAACAAAACTGTCTGTGAAACTGTTTTGTGATGTGTCGATTAATCTCACAGATTTAAAGATTTCTTTTAATTCAGCAGGTTGGAAAAACAGTTTTTGTAGTATTTGTGGAAGGACATTTGGGAGCCCTTTGTGGTCTATGGGAAAAACACAATATCCCAAAATAAAAACTAGAAAAAAGCTATCTGTGAAACTGCTTTGTAATGTGTGGATTAACCTCAAGGGTTAAGCCTTTCTTTTGATTCAGCAGGTTGGAAACACTCTTTTTATAGAACTTGCAAAGGGACGTTTGGGAGCCTGTTGAATCCTATGTGGAAAAAGTGAATATCCCCAGATAAAAGCTAGAAAGAAGCTATCTGTGAAACTCCTTGGTGATGTGTGGACTCATCTCACAGAGTTAAATGTTTCTTTTGATTCAGCAGGTTGGAAACACTCTTTTTGTAAGATCTGCAAAGGGATGTTTGGGAGGCCATTGATGTCTATGGGGAGAGAGTGAATTTCCCCAGATAGAAACTGGAAAGAAGCCTCTGTGAAAGTGCTTGTTGATGTGTGTATTCATCTCACAGATTTAAGCATTTCCTTTGATTCAGCAGGTTGGAAACTCTCTTTTTGTCAAATCTGTGAAGAAACTTTTGGGATCCCAATGAGGTCTACAAGAAAAAACAAATATCCACAGATGAAAACTAGAAAGAAGCTGTGAAACTGCTTGGTGATGTGCAGATTCATCTCGCAGTGTTAAATCTTTCTTTTCATTCAGCAGGTTGGAGACACGCTTTTTGCAGAATATGTGAAGGAACATTTTGGAACCCATTGAGGACTATGTGGAAAAACCAAATATCCCTAGAAAAAAACAAGTAAGAAGCTATCTGTGAAATGGCCTGGTCATGTGTGGATTCATTTCACAGAGTTAACTTTTCTTTTGATTCAGCAGTTTGGAGACACTTTTATATATATATATATATATATATATATATATATATATATATATATATATATATATATATATAATCTGTGAAGGGACATTTTGGAGCCCATTGAGGCCTATAGGGAAAAACAGAATATCCGCAGAAAAAAAAACTTCAAATAAGGGATCAGTGAAACTACTTGTGATGTGTGGATTCATCTCACAGAATTAAACCTTTCTTTTGATTCAACAGCTGGAAACAGTCTTTTTGTAGAATCTGCAAAGGGACATTTGAAGGCCCATTGAGGCCTGGGGTTAAAACAAATATCATCAGATAGAAACTAGAAAGAAGCTATCTGTGAAACTGCTTTGTTGTGTGTGGATTCATCTCATAAAGTTAAACCTTTCTTTTGTTTCACCAGGTTGGAAAGACTCGTTTTGTAGAATCTGTGAAGGGAAAATCAAACCCCTTTGAGGCCTATGGGGAAAAACCAAATATCTCCAGATAAAAACTAGAAAGAAGCTATCTGTGAAACTGCTTTGTGATGTGTGGATTCATCTCACAGAATTAAACCTTTCTTTTGATTCAACAGGTTGGAAACACTCATTTTGTAGAATCTGCCAATGGACATTTGGGAGTCCATTGAGGCCTATGGGGAAAAACAAAATATCCTCAGATAAAAACTAGAAAGAAGTTATCTGGGAAACTGATTTGTGATGTGTGGAATCATCTCACAGTGTTAAACTTTTCTTTTGATTCAGCACATTGGAACCACTCTTTTTGTAGAATCTGCAAAGGGACATTTGGGAGCCCTTTGAGTCCTATGGGGTAAAACAGAATATCCTCGGATAAAAACTAGAAAGGAGCCATCTGTGAAACTGCCTGGTGATGTGTGGATTCATCTGACAGAGTTAAAACTTTCTTTTGATTCAGCAGGTTGGAAACACTCTTTTTGTAGAATCTGCAAAGAGACATTTCAGAGCTTGTCAAGGCCTGTCGGGAAAAAATGAATATCCTCAGATAAAAGTAGAAAGAAACTATATGTGAAGCTCCTTTGTGGCGTGTGCATTCCTCTCACAGAGTTAATCCTTCCTTTTGTTTCAGCAGGTTGGAAACACTCGTTTTGTAGAATCTGTGAGGAGACATTTGGGAGGCCATTTTGACCCATGGGGAAAAACCAAATATCCCCAGGTAAAAACTAGAAGGGAGAAATCTGTGAAACTACTTGGTGATGTGTGGATACATCTCACAGAGTTAAATCTTTCTTTTGATTTAGCAGGTTGGAACACTCTTTTTGTAGAATCTGTGAAGGTACATTTGGGAGTTCATTGTGTCCAATGGAAAAAAACTGAATATTCCCAGATAAAAGCTATAATGAAGCTATTAGTGAAACTGCTTTTTGGTGTGTGGATTAATCTTAGAGAGTTAAACTTTTCTTTGAATTCGGCAGATTGGAAACAGTTTTTTTGTAGAATTTGCAAAATGGCATTTGGGAGCCCATTGAGACCTATGGGAAAAACCCAAATGTCCCCAGATAAAAACTAGAAGGAAGCTATCTGTAAAACTGCTGGGTGACTTGTGGATTCACCTCACAGAATTACATCCTTCTTTTTACTCAGCAGCGTGGAAACATTCTTTTTGTAGAATCTGTGAAGGGTCATTTGGGAGCCCATTGAAACCTACAGGGAAAAACCGAATAGGCCCAGATAAAAAGTAGAAAGAAGCTATCTGTGAAACTGCTTGGTGATATGTGGATTCAGCCCACAGAGTTAAACCTTTATTTTGATTCAACAGGTTGGAAACACTCTTTTTGTAGATTCTGTAAAGGGATATTTGGGATTCCATTGAAGCCTATGGGGAAAAAACGATTATCCCGTATAAAAACTAGAAAGAAGCTATGTGTGATACTGCTTTGTGATGTGTGGATCCATCTCAAAGTGTTAAACTTTACTTTTTATTAAGCAAGTTGGAAACACTCTTTTTGTAAAATCTGAGAAGGAAATTTTCAAAACCCATCAAAACCTATGAGGAAAAACTGAATATTTTCAGATAAAAACAAGAAAGAAGTTATCTGTGAAACTGCTTAGCAATGAGTGGATTCATCACACAGAGTTAAAACTTTCTATTGATTAGTAGATTGGGAACACTCTTTTTGTAGATTGTGTGAAGGGATTTTTAGGAGCCTGACGAGGCTTATGGGGAAAAACTGAATGCCCCAGATAAAAACTAGAAAAAAAGCTATCTGTGAAAGTGCTTTGTGATTTGTCATTTCATCTCACAGAGTTATACCTTTATTTTGATTCAGAAGATTGTAGGCACTTTTTTTTGTAGAATCTCTGAAAGGGATTTGGGGGACAATTTAGGCCTATGGAGAAAAACCAAATATCCCAAAATAAAAATTGGAAAGAAGTTATCTGTGAAACTGCTTTGTGATGTGTGGATTCATCTCACATAATTAAACCTTTCTTTTGATTCAGCAGGTTGGTAACAGACATTTTGTAGGATCTGCGAAGAGACATTTGGGAACCCATTGAGGCCTATGGGGAAAAATGGAAAATGCCCAGCTAAAAACTAGAAAGAAGCCCTATGTGAAGCTGCTTTGTGATGTGTGGATTTATCTCACAAAGTTAAGCCTTTCTTTTGATTAAGCAGGTTGGAAACACTCTTTTTGTAGCATAAGTGAAGTGACATTTTAAAGCCCATTGAATCCTACAAGGAAAAACCGAATATCCTGAGATAAAAAATAGAAAGAAGCTATCTGTGAAACAGCTTTGTGATGTGTGGATTCATTAACAGAGTTAAACCTTCCTTTTGATTTAGCAGGTTGGAAACACTCTCTTTGTAGAATATGTGAAGAAACATTTGGGAGCCAATTGAGGCCTATAGTGAAAAACCGAATATCTGCAGATAAACACTAGAAAGAAGCTATATGTGAAACTCCTTGGTGATGTGTGGATTCATCTCACAGAGTTTAACCTTTCCTTTGGTTCACTAGGTTGAAAACACTCTTTTTGTAGAATTTGTGAAGGAACATTTGGGAGCCCATTCATGCTTATGGAAAAAAAAAACCAAATATCCCCAGATAAAAACTAGAAGGAAGCTATCTGTGAAACTGCTAGGTGATGTGTGGATTCATGTCACAGAGTTAAAACTTCCTTTTGACTCAGCAGTTTGGAAATATTTTTTTGTAGAATCTGTGAAGGGACATTTTGGAGTCCATTGATGCCTGTGGGAAAAAATCAAATATCCCCAGATAGAAACTTGAATGAAGCTATCTGTGAAACTGATTTGTGATGTGTGGATTTATCTAACAGAGTTAAAACTTTCCTTTGATTAACCAGGTTGAAAACACTCTCTTTGTAGAATCTGCGAAGGAACATTTCGGAGCCCATTGAAGCATTAAGAATAATCTGAATATCCTGAGATAAAAACTAGAAAGGAGCTATCTGTGAAACTGCTTGGTGATGCGTGGATTCAACTCAATAGTTAAACCTTTCTTTTTATTCAGCAGGTGGTAAGCACTGTTTTTGTAGTATCTTCAAAGGGACATTTGGGAGCACATTGATGCCTATGGGGAATAACTGAATATCTCAAAATAAAAATTAAAAAGAAGCTATCTGTGAAACTGTTGGATGATGTGTGGATTCACCTCACAGAGTTAAACCTTTGTTTTGATTTAGCAGGTTGGAAACACTCTTTTAATAGAATCTGCAAAGGGGCATTTCAGAGCTTATTGAGGTCTATGGGGAGAAACCAATTATCCCCAGATAAAAATTGGAAAGAAGCTGTCTGTGAAACTGCTTGGTGAGTGTGGATTCACCTCATAGAGTTAAAACTTCCTTTTGATTCAGCATTTTGGAAACACTCTTTATGAAGAATATGCAGAAGAATATTTAGTATCCCATTAAGGCCTATGGGTAAAAAAATGAATATCCCCAGATAAAAAATAGATAGAAGCTATCTGTGAAACTGCTTGGTGATGTGTGGATTCATCTAACAGAGTTAAAACTTTGTCTTGACTTGGCAGGTTAGAAACACTCTTATTGAAGAATCTGCAAAGGGACTTTTGGGAACCCATTGATGCTTAAGGGAAAAAAACGAATATCCTCAGATAAAAACTAAAAAAAATGCTATGTGAAACTGCCTTGTGATATGTGGATTCAACTCACAGAGGTAAACCTTTATTTTGATTCAGCAGGTTGGAAATACTATTTTTGTAGAATCTGCAAAGGGACATTTGGGAGCCCTTTGTGTCCTATGGGGTAAAACAGAATAGCCTTGGATAAAAACTAGAAAGAAGCCATCTGTGAAACTGCTTGGTGATGTGTGGATTCATCTGACAGAGTTAAAACTGGAGTTTCACCCTTGTTGCCCAGGCTGGAGTGCAGTGGTGCGATCTCAGCTCACTGCAACCTCTGCCTCCCGGGTTCAATCGATTCTGCCTCAGCCTGCCGAGGAGCTGAGATTCCAGGCATGCAGCACCATGCCTGGCTGATTTTTTTTTTTTTTTTGTATTTTTAGTAAAGTCAGGGTTTTACCATGTTGACCAGGCTAGTCTTGATCTCCTGACCTTGGGTGATCCACCTGTCTTGGCCTCCCAAAATGCTGGGATTACAGGAGTGAACCTAAGCTGCTTAGCTCACATTCTGTCTTGTGCTTTTTTTGGAGGGGGTTCAAATATACACAAAAGAAATATGATGAACCTCCATGTATCCAACCCCCAGATTAAGCAGTTATCTCCATTTTGCCAGATTTATTTCATCTTATTCAATCTCCCTAAAAATTTGTTTGTAGAGGAAAAACTGGATACATACTGAATTCTCCACCCTACCTCCCATTTTAAGTCACTTTTCAGAATAAGGAGTTAGTGACCTAGTAACCTCTACTCTAGTGACCAATAGTTTTTTTTTTTTCCTGAATATCATTGTGAATTCATAGATTATTGTTTGCATTTGATATATTTTAGACCATTGCAGTTATTATTTATTAATTGTTTTGGATGCATACCTTGTCTCATCTAGGTAAATAATTATCTCTTCAAGTTGTCTCTCATGTCTTTTTGACGTGATCTTGTTGGACTTTGATGGCTTCATTGCTTTCTGGCATAAAAGATGTTCCATGATCTATATACTGCACCATACAAGAAGTCAGCCATTTCTGTAGGAAGCCTTGATTCCTTTTAGTAGAGAATACAGTTTGGGCTCTTGGTCTGAATTACTTTTGTGAACCTCCCCTCCTGAGACTACAGCATGCATCCCTGCTTATAGCCAGTATGGAGCTCTTGCTGGGAACGAACTGATCTCCTAAAACTACTATGTAGCTCTGCCTCACTCTTAAAAAGATTCATCTCTTGAGAGTTTTCTGCTCTACCCGCAGATGTGGTCTTGTTCTGAAGCTTTTGCTTCAATCACCCTGAATTTCACCAGCCCTATGCATGCCGTGCCTTGGATTGCAAACCTGCCCTCACTGGAGCCAATTTATCTGGTTAGAATCGTTGCCCCAACCCATGCCTAATACTCTAGTAAACAAGGTCCTACCTGGGCTTAGGTTAATGGTCACACAGGACTGTGCTTATACTTCATGATATCAAATGGGAGATCCAGTAATTTATAGCCTATTATTTCTGGATTCTGGGGATGGCTCTGCCTAAGCTTCACTGAAGCAGATTTTATTACATTAGAAGAGATTGTAGCTGGCTGCATCCAGCACTGGAAGCTTTTAGATGCTAATAAGGAGGTCATGTAAATGTCATGGAATAACTCTGGAATCCATTCCCCTCCTCACCAAGCAAGAATAATGACATTCTAGGTTGGCCTCTTTTTATTTCCCTTTGATTTTGAGTAGTAAATTCCCTCCTCACTTTCCAGCTGAATAGTCTGGGAGTCTGTATTCCCTAGAAGGACTCTGGTCACATACCCATCAGATTAAATTAGGTGAAAACTCTTTGGCTTTAATGAATGTTGAAGGATTTCAAAGGGCTAATGGAAATTCTTCTAGAAGGAACAATTTCCATTCTATTGGTGAAATCATCCTGAGCAAATTCCGTGAATCTCTTAGATTATTTTATACAGCAAACCAGCCAGCATTGGGTTTTCTTTGCTAATAGGTGACAAGGAGAATGTAGACACTTGGAATCTATGGAGAATCCCTAAGTTGCATTTTAGCCTGCGTGTTATGTCTCTTTTCCTAACCCTTTTACCAGAGCCAATCACAAGAAACAGCATGATAGATTTGTATGACTTATCTTCCTGCCTCCTCCCTTCATTCTTATAGAAAGTTGTAAGTGGCTGCCTGCCAGGTAAAATCTTCGTGGCAAAATCCAAAGTCAGATTCATAGTTATAAGCATAGCCCCCACAAAAGTAACTTCCAAAGAAAAGAAAGAGGCTGGGTGCAGTAGCTTACGCCTGTAATCCCAGAACTTTGGGAGGCTGAGGCAGGCAGATCACCAGGTCAGGAGTTCAAAACCAGCCTGGCCAACATGGTGAAATCTTGTCTCTACTAAAAATACAAAAATTAGCCCGTATGGTGGTGCGTGCCTGTAATCCCAGCTACTCGGGAGACTGAGGCAGCAGAATTGCTTGAACCCAGGAGGTGGAAATTTCAGTGAGCTGAGATCACACCACTGCACTCCAGCCTGGGTGACAGAGCAAGACTGTGTCTCGGGAAAAAAAAAGAAAAGAAAACAAAGAGTGTTGTGCAAAACCTTGCTTCATTGCCTTTAAAATGGTTACTTACTGAGTTATTGCATTAGATTTCTGCTTTGTGGTAGTTGTTGTACTACTGTTGAATGATTTCATTCTCCATTCATGGAATACCAACAGTGTTCCTGGTACTGTGCTGACCACCTGAGATCAAAAGATAAACAGGAGTTGGTCCTTGCCACTTAGACCTCAGTCTACCACTGGAAGAGTGTGGGAAGGTGTGATAAGAGCTGTAGTGATCTTGCCACTTAATTTGCATTTGTATCTTAAAGCCAGTGGGGAGCCATCAAAATATTTTAAGCAGGAGAGTGACATGATTCAATGATTCATTTGTATTTTACTTTTTCTTTTATTTTTCTTTTCAGATGGAGTCTCAATCTGCCACCCAGGCTCCCAGGCTGGAGTATAGTGACACAATCTCGGCTCACTGCAATCTCTGCCTCCTGAGTTCAAGTGATTCTCCTGCCTCAGCCTCTGAAGTACTTGGGACTACAGGCATGTACCACCATATTTAGCTAATTTTTGTATGTTTGGTAGAGATGGGGTTTCCCTATATTGGCCAGTCTGGTCTCAACTCCTGATGTCAGGTGATCCACCTGCCTCGGCCTCCTAAAGTGTTGGGATTACAGGCATGAGCTACCACTCCCAGCCCACTTTTTTCTCTTTTTTTGAGACAGAGTCTTGTTCTGTTGCCCAGGCATGAATGCAGTGTCACAATCATAGCTCACTGTAACCTCAGACTCTTGGGCTCAGTGATCCTCTTGCCTCAGCCACTCAAGTAGCAGGGACTACAGGTGTGTACCACCACACAATGGTAATTTTTTTTTTTTTTTTTTTGAGACAGGGTTTTACTCTGTTTCCTATGCTAGACTGCAGTGGCATGATCATGGCTCACTGCAGCCTCACCCTCCTAGATTCAGGAGATCCTCCTGCCTTAGGCTCCCAATGTGCTGCAATTACAGGTGTGAGCCATTGTATTTGGCCCCATTTGTATTTTTGAAAGATGACTAGTGGTAGTGAAGATACCAGTGAGTTGAAGGGAGTGAAACTAGGGGCAATAACAGTTCAGATAACAGATATTTTTTGAGCCCCTGCTAAGTGCCAGGCACATATCTAGGTCCTGGGAACTAGGGGAGAATGAGTAACTCAGTCTCTATTCTCGGGGAGGTTCCATTCTTGTGGTGGTGTGGTGGTGGGGAAGCAGGCTATATACATGCAACAAATGATATTTTTTTCAGATGGTGATAAGTAATTTGAAGAAAATAAATAGAGCTATGGGAGTTAGAATGTTTGGGCATTGGAATGGGTACTGACCTATTGGGGTGGGCAGTGAAGACCTCTCTGACATTTGAGCTGAGGCAGCTTGAAGAAGATCTGGTCAAGATCTGGTCTGGTCCTGCTGGGTAGAATGTCAAGTGCAGCGACCTGAGATGTAAACAGACTTGACATAGTGTTTAAGCACCATAAAGCTGGTCAGGGTGGCTGGAGCATAGTGGAGCCTAGAGGAGCAAGTAATATTCAGATGAGGATGGAGCACCTTCTAGGCCATGGAAAGGAATCTGGATTAAATCCAATGGAGTAAGAAGCATTGCAATTAAATCAGGGGTTGGCAAACTACGGCCCATGGGTCTAATCTGTCCTGCTGCCTATTTTAATGAATAAACCATATTGGAACACAGTCTCACCCATGGGTTTACATATTGTCCAGGGCTGTTTTTAATGTTACAAGAGCAGAGTTGAGTAGTTTCAACAGAAACATATGACCCAGAAACCTAAAATATTCACTGTCTTGTTTTTATAGAAAAAGTTTACTGACCCCTGAATTAAATGATCTAATTTAAGTTTTGAGGAGGAGACACTCTGGGTATTGTTTAGGGAATGAATGGTAAGAGGCAAGAGTACAGCTGAATAGTTCAGATAAGAAATAACTAGATGTTGGCTTGGTACCATGGCTCATGCTTGTAATCCTAGCACTTTGGGAGGCTAAGGTTGGTGGATCACAAGGTCAGAAGTTTAAGACCAGCCTGGTCAACATGGTAAAATCCCATTTCTACTAAAAATAGAAAAATTAGCTGGGTGTGGTGGTGGGCACCTGTAATCCCAGCTACTTGCTGAGGCAGGAGAATTGCTTGAATCTGGAAGGCAAAAGTTGCAGTGAACTGAGATCACGCCACTGTACTCCAGCCTGGGCAACAGAGCAAGACTCCATCTCAGAAAAAAAAAAAAAAGAAAAAAGTAACTAGATGTTAAGCCACTAGAAAACAAAGATCACACTGTTTTTATTCTCTTTTAAAACACCTAGCTATGCTTTATACTCATTAAATATTGTTTATTGAGTGATGAGATGCTGAATAGGGGGTGCCAGTGAATATGAAGGGGAAGTGAGGTTTTAAGAGATATTTAGGAGGTAAAATATCAGGACAGCTTATTGCTGACACAGTGAATAGAAACAGGAGGTGGGCAGAAGGAGGACTGGAGGATGCCCTTCAGGTTTCTGGCTCAGGTATCTTGGTGCATGGCAGTGTAATTAACTGAGACAGGGAAAGTGGAGAAACAAAGAACATATGTTGTTGGGGAGAAGGAATTAATCTTTGGACATAGGATGCTCAGGACATCCAGGTAAAGATGTCTAAAAGATAGTTGGAAAGACAGAGCTCTATCTAGCATGATATCTAGATTTATGTTAACCAGAATTCTAGGGTCATCAGCTTGTGTGGGCTCTCCTAGAAAGGGTGTGTGAAAAGGAGGGCAGGGATAGATCTCATATGGCATTCGTTTCCAGTACATTTTGGATCTAGAGAGGAGGCAAAGATAAACTAGCTGTGTGGACAGTTTGCATCAGTCCGTCAGGTCATCCCATGACCATGGAATATTTTTTCTGCAGAAGCTGATGGGCTCAAATGAAGGCTTGCCTTACCTATTTCTCTGGCCGCCAACCTCTTTCTCTTAGTTGGGTTGACTGGGGCAGCTGTGGAGGCTTCTTCCCTCCTAGGCTCCCTGCTAACATTGGAACATTTGTGGCCTTTTAACTCTGTAGGTGATTCACGTTTGCATTTATCTTTTTATTTTTTAAGAGATAAGGTCTCATCCTGTTGTCTGGGCTGGAGTGCAATGGCACAATCATAGATCACTGCAGCCTCAACCTTCTAGGCTCCAGTGATCCTCCCACCTCAGCCTCCCAAGTAGGTGGGATTGCGGGTACATGCCACCAAGCCCAGCTAGTATTTTAATTTTTGTAGAGACGGTGTTTCCCTATGTTGCCCAGGCTACTCTCAAATTCCTGGGCTCAACAGATCTTATCTTGGCTTTCCAAAGTGCTGGGATTGCTGGGCATGGTGAGCCTGTAATACCAGCACTTTGGGAGGCTGAGACAGGCAGATCGCCTGAGCTCAGGAGCTCGACACCAGCCTGGACAACACAGTGAAACCTCTTCTCTACTAAAAATACAAAAAATGAGCCAGGCGTGGTGGCATACTCCTGTAGTCCCAGCTACTCAGGAGGTTAAGGCAGGTAAATCACTTGAACCCAGGAGGCAGAGGTTGCAGTGAGCCGGGATCACACCACTGCACTCCAGCCTGAGTGACAGAGGGAGACTCCAGCTCAAAAAAAACAAAAAACAAAAAAAAACTAACAAAGTGCTGGGATTACAGGCATGAGCCAACATGTTTGCATTTATCTAGTTGAGGCTACAGGGAGGTAGGAGGGCCTAGTTGTCCTTGGTGTTTTGTTACAGCAATAATTCTCAGATGCAAGGGCTAGACAATGGATTAATTTTATTAAGTAATGTTAAATATTAATAAATTTATCAAATCCATTAAGTATTGTTAAATATTAATAAATGTATTAAATGCTGTTAAATATTAATAAATTTATTAAATATTATTAAATTTACTAAGTATTATGGGTTCTTTTATGCCACAAAGCTAGATAAACCCCTTACTGGCCCTGAACAATAGCTTCCCCTTTCCTTTTTGTTTTTTTTTTTCCTTTTTGTATGGGGAAGGGGAACCACAGAAGTATTTAATAAAAAAGCACTTGTGGCCAGGCGCGGTGGCTCATGCCTGTAATCCTAGCATTTTGGGAGGCTAAGGCAGGTGGATCGCCTGAGGTCAGGAGTTTGAGACCAGCCTGGCTAACATGATGAAACCCAGTATCTACTAAAAATACAAAAAATTAGCCAGGCGTCATGGCAGGTGCCTGTAGTTCCAACTGCTCAGGAGGCTGAGGCAGGAGAATCACTTGAACCTGGGAGGCAGAGGTCGCATTGAGCCGAGATTGTACCGTTGCATTCCAGCCTGGGTGACAGAGTGAGACTCCATCTGAAAAATTAAACAAAAATAGCACTTGTGCTGAAAGTGGTCTTAAAATAGTTGTACCCAGGTGGGGCACAGTGGCTCTTGCTTATAATCCCAGCACTTTTGGAGGCCGAGGGAGGTGGACCACTTGAGGTCAGGGGTTCAAGACTACCCTGGCTAACATGGTGAAACCCCATCTCTTCAAAAAATACATAAATTAGCTGGGCATGGTTGTGGGCACCTGTAATCTCAGCTGCTTTGAAGGCTGAGGCAGGAGAATTGCTTAAGCCCAGGAGGCAGAGGTTACAGTGAGCCAAGATTGCACCACTACATTCCAGCCTGGGTGATAGAGTGAGACTCTATCTCAACAAACAAAAAAACAAAAACCTATACTTGTAATCCTAGACCTGGATGCAAATCTCCCCTCTTTACAAATGTCCATTATGAAAAGCCAAGGATGAAATCAAACTGTAAAGGCAGCAGGGAAGGAGGACCACTGTCTTGATTGTCCACTCCCCTCATAGATTTTTTTAGCATATTATCACACCTATGCTGTTCATACTTTTTTTTTTTTTTTTTTGAGATGGAGTCTCACTCTGTCACCCAGGCTGGAGTGCAGTGGAGCGATCTTTGCTCACTGCAAGCTCTGCCTCCCAGGTTCATGCCATTCTCCTGCCTCAGCCTCCAGAGTAGCTGGGACTACAGGCGCCCTCCCCCACGCCTGGCTAATTTTTTGTATTTTTTAGTAGAGACGGGATTTCACCGTGTTAGCCGGGATGGTCTTGATCTCCTGACCTCGTGATCTGCCCGCCTCAGCCTCCCAAAGTGCTGAGATTACCGGTCATACATTTTTTAGATGTGTTTTAAACATATTTTAACCCAGTCTTGCATATAACGTTCAAATTTTAGGGGGGCACCTGTTTTATCAGTTTTTCCTCTTTTTTTTGAGACAGAGTCTCGCTCTGTCGCCCAGGCTCTAGTGCAGTGGTGTGATCTCAGATCACTGCAACCTGTGCCTTACAGATTCCAGCCATTCTCCTGCTTCAGCCTCCCGGGTAGCTGGGATTACAGGCGCTCACCATCATACCCGGCTAATTTTGTATTTCTAGTAGAGATGAGATTTCACCATGTTGGCCTGGCTGGTCTCGATCTCCTGACTTCTTGATCCGCCCACCTCTGCCTCGCAAAGTGCTGGGATTTCAGGTGTGAGCCACCTCTCCCAGCCAATCATGATTTTAAAAAACCACCATGGCCTAGTTAATGTTTATTAGCTCATTGCCACTAATCATTATGCACACTCACTTGCTATATCAGAGGCCCGAAACCACCCGATTTCTTTTTTGAGATGGAGCCTTGCTCTGTTGCCCAGGCTGGAACACAGTGGCACAATCTCGGCTCACTGAAACTTCTGCCTCCTGGGCTCAAGGGATTTTTGTGCCTCAGCCTCCCGAGCAGCTGGGATTACAGGTGTCCACCACCATGCTCAGCTAATTATTGTGTTTTTTAATAGAGACAGGGTTTTACCATGTTGCCTGGGCTGGTCTCAAACTCCTGACCTCAAGTGGTACAACCGTCTTGGCCTCCCAAAGTGCTGGGATTACAGGGGTGAGCCACCGTGCCCAGCCTGAACTGCCCAATTTTAAAGGGATAATTGGGAAAACATTTGTTTAAAAAGGAAATGAAGGAGTTACCATAACTGTGGTTAGCGGTGTGAAGACCCTAGAAAACCTGTGTGAACCCCTGGCAGTTCACAGTCTACTGCCTGGTCAAGAGCCTTAGAAAACTTATATGTACATGTTAGGAGACCAAGTCTGAAAGCTTCCCAGGATTGTATAAACTTCTACATTAAGTTCCATGATGCCCAATGAGTAGTCCCACATTTTCACAGCAGACATGCTATTGCTGCCTCCTTCCTTATCATGAAATGAGCAGAAGATGCAGATGATACCTGAAGCAGGAAGACAAAGGGGAGACACTGAAATTGTCACCCACCTTTGGATGCCCCTCATGCCTTGTGTTTCCCATTGAGCCTCACTTATCAGTGACACAGGGAATGGTTTCTTTTCTCTCCACTTTCCCTGTGGCTGCCTGGAAGTAGGGGAGGCACTTGCTGACATTATATTGCTGTGGATTAGTTGGAGGGACAGGAACAGGACATTTTCCTGGTGGTGTATGTGTCACTGGCATTCACAGGGGAACTTTTTAATCTCACTGGCCTCTGTGATTCTGTGACCCTGGTTATTACATGTTCAGAAAGTGTCAGTTTATTTGAAAGGGATACTCTTATTTCTATTTAAACATTGCCAAAGACCATCACACCTTTTTTTTAATTGAAACATTTTTGTATTTTTTATTTTTTGGAGACAAAAGTCTCACTCTTTCATATGAACATGAAGGGACTCATAGTCCCTTCCCCTACAGTATGTCTTTAATAACATATCAATGAAGGGTCATATCTGAATGAATTATAGAATTTCAGGACCTAAAAAGAAGGTCCCAAAAGCCAGGCTTTGGTGTATTTCTACTACTACGCTTGCTATTGAAACCAAGCAGACAACTTCATTTCTCTTGGATTCGGCTTTCTCATGTGTCAGAATGGGAGAGGAAGGGAGGCATTGGGATGTCATTCCACTGTCTGTATTTCTAATCTGGCTGACACCCGTGTGGCAAATACTTAGATTTGTTGACAGCAGTTTCCTGGAATGCTGTCTTGAATGATTCTGAGGAGGCTCAGCAAGAAAGTGTGTTTCAGTTGATTGGGCGTGTCTGTCATGGAGAAAGGAGCAAAGAGTGGGGAGCACTCATAGCATTCCCAGGGCATTTCTGTCCACTATCTCGATACCTGGTGTTGATGTTTCCTATCCCTTATCAGAAATCCTGACTACTCTGCATCTGATGACTCGAACTTACTGAGCGCTGCTTAGTTGCATCATAGAAACCACCTGTCTTCGAACAGCTACCCTGCCTCTTGATGAGAATGCAAAGGCTACCAGGGGCCACTGCTGTATGGAATGGCCTTTGGTAGTTTCTCCTTAGAACACAGAGGTCATTTTGATTAATAACATAACTCTCCTTTTGATTGAAAGTGTTAAAATGGGCTGGGTGCAGTGGTTCATGCCTGTAATCCCAGCACTTTGGGAGGCCAAGGTGGGCAGATCACAAGGTCAGGAGATAGAGACCAACCTGGCTAACTAACATAGTAAAACCCCCTCTCTACTAAAAATAGAAAAAAATTAGCTGGGTGTGGTGGTGTGTGCCTGTAGTTCCAGCTACTTGGGAAGCTGAGGCTGGAGGTGGAGATTGCAGTGAGGTGAGATCAAGCCACTGCACTCCACTCCAACCTGGGTGACAGAGCAAGACTCCAGCTGAAAAAAAAAAGTGTTAAATGTTTCTTTTAAAAGTACTTTAGGCTTGTTCTTCAGATTTGCCCAGTAACCTAAGTGAAATGCCTTCAATATGAAGTGGATATTGCTCAATTGTAGGGAACTTGTCCATAATGTACTTGAGAATGCAGATACAAATAAAAGAATGTCTGTGTCAAATTTTATCTTCCACAAATTGTCTTCTCTTCCACTTTCAGCTCAAGCTCTTGGACTCATTGAGGCAGTAAAAGTACCATATTCTGTGTTTCAATCAAACCCCGAGTTCCTATGTGTAGAAGGCTTGCCAGAGGGGATTCCCTTTCGAAGCCCTACCTGCTTTGGAATTCCATGACTTGAAGGTATCATCCGTGGGAGTAATAAAATGAAGTTTGTTGTTAAAAAGTAAGTTCTAAGCTGGGCATGGTGGCTCACACCTGTAATCCCAGCACTTTGGGAGGCTGAGGAGGGCAGATCACCTGAGGTCAGGAGTTCAAGACCAGCCTGGCCAACATGGTGAAACCCCGTCTCTACTAAAAATATAAAAAATTAGCTGGGCATCATGGCTGGCACCTGTAAACCCAGCTACTCAGGAGGCTGAAGCAGGAGAATCACTTGAAGCTGGGAAGCAGAGGCTGCTATGAACTGAGATCACAGCACTGCACTCCAGCCTGGGCAACAGAGTGAGACTCTGCCTCAACAGCAACAACAACAACAACAAAAAAGTAAGTTCTATTTGCCACTGTAGTCATTTCTGGAATTAAAACAGTAAAATGACATTTCTACTAAAATGTTTTTCTAGCTAGAGGTGACAGGCTTGGCTGTAAGTCCTTGATGAAAAAGCCTGGCTCTGAACTGCAGTCCTGGCACTCTCCATAGCCCCTGCAGTCTCCCATCCTGTACTTAGCCGTCTTCATCAGTGCAAGAATAGTGACCACCGCCTCCACAGTGTTGAGAGGCACTATGTTGGCTCACAGTAGGCCTAAGTACTTGAATGTAGTTTAATTTGCTGGGTTTTATCTACTCTGTTATTCCTGGGTCAATCTTGTGAGTGATTAAATATTGATGATTGAGTTTCTTTTCTTTTTTTGTTTTTTTGAGACAGAGTTTCACCCTTGTTGCCCAGGCTAGAGTCCAATGGCACAATCTCCACTCACTGCAACCTCTGCCTCCCGGGTTCAAGCGATTCTCCTGCCTCAGCCTCCTGAGTAGCTGGGATCACAGGCATGCACCACCATGCCTGGCTAATTTTTGTGTTTTTAGTAGAGACAGGGTTTCACCAAGTTAGTCAGGCTGGTCTCAAACTCCTGAACTTAGGTAACCCAACCACCTCGGCCTTTCAATGTGCTGGGATTACAGGTGTGAGCCACCACACTGGGCCTGATGTGATGATTGAGTTTCTTACTATATCTACGTTTCTGCAGAATTTTAGTGGCTGAAGAAAGTACACTAGTGTTAATTTTCTTTTTCATGAAGTAATTTACTCTTCATATAATTACTTACCAGTCATGGGAAGGAAAAATCAGGGTTTTTGTCCACAATAATAGGAATTATTGTCACATTGCAGGGTGACCCTGTGAACTCCTTTTGGAAAAATCCCTCATCATATCACAACTGTTTTACTAGCTGTGAGACCACTATTGTACTGGCTACTGTAACATTTTTTTGGTTTTCTTTCTTGACTTGAACTAATTATTTCCTACTTGCCTCCTGTAATGGCTAGTAAAATAAACACTAAAGGTAAGAGATTACATGTACTTCCTATGATATTTCACTGCATTAAGACATACTTTATCAGCATTTTTTAAATCATACAGAATCATTGGCCAATATCTTTGTGGGACTTGCAGTTAGTTTTTTGGCTTTTTAAGGTATTTTATTTAATGGACCTCTTTTTCTTTTTTTTTTTTTTTTAAAAAAAAAAACAGCATTTGATTGGAAATGTCACATTTGCAATCCCACTTTATTCATGTTTCCATGGCTTTTTTGAGCCACCTGTGGAGGATTCCACTACAAGTTTAATTCTGCAGGTTTGTTTGAAAAGAGTCAAACTGTATGAATGTTAATACTCTTATAAAGCATCTTCTTCTGTATTTTTTTCCTACAATATATTAAGGTAATTCTGTGCTCATTTTACAACTTTCAGTCCCCAAAAAGATGATGAAGCCCTGAGAGTAATTAAAAGATTCCTGAAATTGAGGTCACTGTGGAAGGTAAGGGCCAGTCCTTGGCATGTTTCTGTTGATTCTCCAGTTTAATAGTTATGTCAGTTTACTAGCTATGTGTTTATACAGATGAAGTTAACCAAACTAGTTTTACATGTGAACAGCTACCTTTGGTAAAGCTAAATTTTTGAATGTTTTTAATTAAAATTTTCCAAATCATTAACAGAAAATAAATAACTTGGATCACATCATAAACTGCACTCAAGAAAATCCCTAAAATGCTTTTCCTTTATTACAACAAATAAGAGTGCAGAGGATGACATGGAATGTTTCTTGATCTTTTGCCCTCTTTGTTTTTTCTGTTCTTTTAAGGAAAGAAAGTTTGGGGGTAGTTTAAACAGCAGTGCCTGGAATGAAAGTATTTCCTACAACACCCTCTAATGTACTTCCTTTTCTCTATGCCCATAGGGTCTCCAGGATTCTCACCTTTCATGTTTACAATATTAAAATACTTCACACAATACCAAATACAGTTCCCAACCAACTGTCAAATATGGATATTTCTTCCATTTCCTCATGAATGCAAAAGGAAATACCTGCATTAGGATCATCTTTTTTTTTGGGGGGGGGGGTGGGTGTAGAGATTAGGGCTGTAGGAATAATGTTAACCAGGAATAACTTGACGATTGTTTGCTGCTGCAGCCAGTGTGATTTTCCAAATAGGGAGATGCCTGTTTTTCTCACATAAAATTAATTGTGCTGGTAGGCTGAGGCTGACATTGGTTCAGTTGCTCAAACATGGCAAGACTGGCTTCCCTGTGCTTCTCTTCACTTTCCTTTCTGGTGCACGGTGGTGGAGGGAGCTCCTGTCATCATGTCTCCATCCAAACAGGACGTAAATAAGTAAAGAAAATGCAGCGTGAGCCCTGCCTGCACCCATGGTCAGGGCTTTTTTTGAATCCTAGCACAATTTTGCATAAGTCTCTTGGTTTTAAAAAAAGATGAATTTAAAATAATAAAATGAAGCACAAACTCTGAGGCCAAAGTGATAGGATTTAAATCTGCACTCTGCCACTTGGGAAAATTACTTAAATTCTCTGTTCTTCAGGTTGCACACCTGTAAAATGGGAGGGAGGAAAATAATATTTGACTCATGGTTTTTAAAAATAGATTTTTTTTTTTTTTCTGTCTGAGACAGAGTTTTGCTCTTGTTGCCCAGGCTGGAGTGCAGTGGTGCGTTCTCGGCTCACTGCAACCTCCGCCTCCCAGGTTCAAGTGATTCTCCTGCCTCAGCCTCTCGAGTAGCTGGGATTAAGTCACTCACTACCATACCCAGCTAATTTTTTGTATTTTGAGTAGAGGCGGGGGTTTCACCATGTTGGCCAGGCTGTTCTCAAACTCCTGACCTCAGGTAATCTGCCCGCCTCAGCCTCCCAAAGTGCTAGGATTACAGATGTGAGCCACCGCACCTGGCTGAGATGTTATTTCTTTAATAAACAACTGCTATCATTTCAGACCACTTGCTATTTAGGCACTTGGGAATTTTTTCACTAGAAGTCATGTAAAGAAAGAAGATGGGCATTTGTAATGGATTTAGCATTCATCATTTGACTGCATGACTGACCCCCAGAGCTATGATTTTACTAATGAATTTTTCAGAAACCACTTAGCTAGGAACAGAGCCTAACCAGCCACCCACCCTCACCATTCAGTGCTCTTTTGTTGTTCTGTTTCTCCTCAAACTTTGTTACTCTCACAAAGTGATAAAAACTTGCATTTCTTTTCTTTCCTTTTTAGAGACAGGGTCTTGCTCTGTCACTCGGGCTGCAGTGCAGTGGTGTGATCATGGCTTGCTGTAGCTTCAAACTCCTGGGCTCAAGCAATACTCCCACCTCAGCCTCCCAAGGAGCTGGGACTACAGATGTACAAGAGCATGAAAAGCTAATTTTATTTTATTTTATTTTATTTTTTTATTATTTATTTTTGAGATGGAGCTTTTTTGTTTGTTTGTTTTAGAGATGGCCTCACTGTGCTTCCCAGGCTGCTCTCAAACTCCTGGCGTCAAGAAATCCTCATGCCTTGGCTTTCCAAATTGCTGGAATTATAAGTAGGAGCTACCATGCCTGGCATCTGCTAGTCCTGTGTTCTCTAGTGTTCTCTTTACTTTTTGGTAGCCCATCTCTCATTATGCTGTTGCCCTGTTATAATAATTTTTTTATTTTAAATTTTACCACTTTAAACTTTTGAGTGGTTTATATCCCCCGATTGGGCTCCTACAAATACAGAATTGATGCTAGGAAGGGTCCCAGGAGCTAGACCCACACACATGGGATTTGGGCATAGGTTTGGTTATCCAAGGGGCAGTGCTGAGCTCCTTACCAATGGGAAATGTGATGCTGGTGATTTCCAGAAAGTGACCTCACAATGACTCAAGCTATCACTTACTGTTGATTGTGATTAAATGCCAGCTGAGGCATATGCCTTGGGAGCTAAGTGGTTGCTGCATTTGACCACTATGAAGACTGGTGTGGGAAGGGTCCTTTTGGATGCACTTGAACAGGGCCCCCTAATCCCTGGATGACAGGCCTGTATTGGGCCACACAGCAGGTGAGCAGCAGATGGGTGAGTGAAGCTTCATCTGTATTTACAGCCACTCCCCACATTACTGTCTGATCTCTGTCTCCTGTCAGGTCAGTGGCAGCTTTAGATTCTCATAGGAGCACGAATCCTATTGTGAACTGTGCATGTGAGGGATCTAGCTTGCTCTGTCCTTATGAGAATCTAATGCCTGATAATCTGTCACTGTTTCCCATCACCCCCAGATGGGACTGTCTCGTTGCAGAAAAACAAGCTCAGGACTCCCACTGATTCTACATTATGGTGAGTTATATAATTATTTCATTATATACTACAATGTAATAATAATAGAAATAAAGTACACAATAAATGTACGTTGCTTGAAACATTCCAAAAACTGACCCACTTCCCCCAGTCTGTGGAAAAATTTTCTTCCACAAAACTGGTCCCTGGTGCCAAAAAAATTGGGGACCGCTGCACTTGAGCACTTACAGAGAGAAAAACAAAAAGCTCAAGTCTTTACCTCTTAGCGTAAGTCATGGTCTAGGATCCAGAGAGCTTCCAGGATAGCCCGAACACATTCCTTATTTCTTGTATCTGTAGGGCTGATATTATTGAAAATCAAACACAAACTTAAATGTGTAGATTGCTGAATTGCAATGACAGTTGAATTCATTGTGTCACCAAGGTACTTATGAGAACATTAGGGCAGTAATAGGTGAAGAATGGGATTTTTTTTTTTTTTTGAGACAGTCTCCTTCTGTTGCCCAAGCTGGAGCTCAGTTGTGTGATCTCAGCTCACTGCAGTCTAAACCTCCCAGGCTCAAGCTATCCCCCCACCTCAGCCTCTGGGGTAGCTGGGACCACAGGTATAAGCTACCACACCCAGCTAATTTTTGTGTTTTTTGTAGAGATGTGGTTTCACCACATTGCTCAGGCTGGTATCAAACTCCTGGGATCAAGCTGTCCACCCCCCTTGGACTTCCAAAGTTTTGAGATTACAGGCAGGAGCCACCATGCCTGGCCTTATTCTCTTTTACACTGGTTTATTGTAAGGGCCTCCAGTTGTCTTCCTGACTTCTAGGCTTGCTCACTTCAGCCTGTTCACTGAAGCCAGAGGAATTCTCCTAAAAGGCAAATTTGGGTCAAAATGGTCCTTGATTAAAACCTGCTGCTGACTTCCCATTGCCTTTAAGGCAAAGTCCAAATTAATTTGGCCACAGGACCTGGTAAGAGCTGGCTTCCACTCACCTTCCCAGTTTTATCCTGCACCACCCTCCCCATATCCCTACCCTGCAGCCACATGGAATGTCAGTTTCCTTGGGGGACTTTATTGGTCCTTCAGGAAACCCTTTCCCTACCCCCGTCATCACTCTTTAACTCTCATTTTTGCTCATCTTTGGCCTCAGCTGAGATGTCTCACCCCACTCTATGATGCAACAAGAAACCCCTTGGGAGCGTTTCAGTCCCACTCTATACTTATGTCATTGTGCTCATCACAGTCTGGTAAATGTTAGCATAGGACTCCTATATTAGTCCATTTTCCATTGTTATAAGGAAACACCTGAGGCTGGGTAGTTTATAAAGAAAAAGGTTCATTTGGCTCACAGTTCTGCAGACTATACAAGTAGCAAGGTTCCAGGCCAGGCGCAGTGGCCCACACCTGTAACCCCAGCACGCCGAGACGCTGAGGCAAAAGGATTGCTTGATCCCAGAAGTTTGAAACAAGCCTGGGAAACATGGTGAGACCGTGTCTCTACTAAAAATAAAAAAAAAAAAATAGCCAGGTATGATGGTACACTAATGCATGCCTGTGGTCCCAGCTACTTTGGAGGCCAAAGTAGAAAGATCTGGGAAAGTGCTGGGGTTACAGGCATGAGCCACCACATCTGGCCAGTTTATTTTCTATTACTGGCTCAATGTAAAGGCTGCATCTCAGGAACAGCCAATGAAAGAGATGCACAGGGTAAGGTAAGTGGGGAGGGGCACTTCCATTCCCTCTGTTTGGCACCCTACCCTCCCAGCACCTCCTTGTGTTCAGCAACCTGGAAGCTCTCCAAACCCTATTGTTTAGGGTTTTTATGGAGGCATGATTGATAAAATCATTGGCCATTGGTGGTTAAATTAATCTCCAGCCCCTTTTGCCTCCTGGAGTTCAGTGGGTGAGGCTGAAAGTTCCAAGCCTCAAAAAATGTGGTTGGGGCTGGACGCAATGTCTCAGCCTGTAATCCCAGAACTTTGGGAGGCCAAGGTGGGTGGATCACTTGAGGTCAGGGGTTCATGACCAGCCTGACCAACATGGTGAAACCCCGTCTCTACTAAAAAACAAAAATTAGCTTGGTGTGGTGGCAGGCGCCTGTATGTAGTCCCAGCTACTCTGGAGGCTGAGGCAGGAGAATGGCTTGAACCCAGGAGGCAGAAAAATTAGCCAGGTGTTGTGGCATGCACCTGTAGTCTCAGCTCCTAGGCAGGCCAAGGCAGGAGGATTGTTTAAGCCTGAGAGGTTGAGATTGCTGTGAGCTATGATTGCACCACTGTACTCCATCCTGGTCAATAGAGCAAGACCCTGTTTCAAAAAGATAGAAAGAAATGAGCATGATGGGAATGGGGACAGATGGCAATGTTAAGTAGAGTGGTAATAAATGAAAACTGAGCAAAAGTTTGAAGCAGGTGATGGAGCTGGCCAGGGTGGTGAGGGAAGAGCATTGTAGGCTGAATCAACAGGATAAAGGCATTAGGAGGAAACTCCCTGGTGTGTATGAGGCTCTGGAAGGAGGCCAGTGGAGCAAAGAGATAGAGGGAGAGAGGTAGCGTAGGAGCCAGGGCTGGGCTGGGATCAGTACAGATCACATAAGCCCTGGGAGGCTATTGGTGTGGCTTTGGCTTTTACTCTGACTAAAATGGGAACCGCAGAGTGGTTCTGAGCAGAGAGACAACATGATCTGTCTCCTGATTTAAAAGCACCCCCTGGCTGCTGAGTTGAGAAAGACTGTGGGAAGATTTGGGTAGAAGCATGGGGGCCAAGCTGTGGCAGCATCCAGGTGGGAGATGGTATTGGTCCTGACCAGGGTCATGGTGGTGGTGAGAGATGGTCAGAGCCTGAATACACGTTGAAGTCAGTCAACAGGATTTCCTGGCAGACTGGATGTGAACTGTGAGAGAATGCAGGAGTCAAGGTTGAGTTTGAGTCTAATTGAATTATTAAGTAATTAAAAAAAAAAACATTACTGCCTTTCCCAGTCCTACCAAGTAAAGGATGCAAGACTAAAGAAATCTCAAGTCAGGCCAGGTGCAGTGGCTCACACCTATAGTTCCAACAGCTTGACAGGCAGAGATGGGAGTATGTTTAAGGCCATGAGTTGGAGAGCAACCTGGGCAACATAGCAAGACCTCCTCTCTACAAAAATAAAAGAAAGAAATTTAATAAAATTTCTTTTTATTAAAGGAATAAATAGGAAGTTACTCAGGAGGCTGAGGTAGGCAGATCTCTTGAGGCTAGGAGTTTGAGGCCAGCTTGGGCAACATAGCAAGAGTTCTCTCTCTACCAAAGTAAAAAAAAAAAAAAAAAATGGCACTACATGATAGTACTTGCCTGTATTCCCAGGTTCTGGGGCATCTGAGGCAGGAGCATCTCTTGAGCCCAGTTGGTCAAGGCTGCAGTTAGCTATGATTATATCACTGCACTCCAGCCTGGGTGACAGAGTGGGACCCTGTCTCAAAATACAAATACAAATGAAATGAAATCTCAAGTCAGACCAATCCCTTCTAGGCTATGCAGACCTTGCAACTGCATAGCCACATGATCGAGTTTATGTGGCTGTGGATGAGGAGACCTCTGTCCAGTTGTTGTTGGCTATATAATCAGTTTATTTTTAAATATAGTAATTCAGTATATTTCCTCATATTTGATCATCTCAGATATGTGTGGATTTTTAAATTCTCCTTGGAAGAGGTTGTAACATCTTATTGGCTCCATCATTCCATAATTTTTTTATCTGATCAGTTTTTAATAAGATCACAATTGATATTACACTACCTAATCAGTTTTAATTAAAGAGAAAATGAAATTGTGTTGTTTGCACTTTATCCAAGATTGGTGTCATATTGGCTAAATCAAATCAACACAAATGCAAAATTAGAGCTTCTTTATCATGAAACACTATGTCATTCTTGAAGAAGATGCCATTTCTTCTTCTTCTTCTTTTTTTTTTTTTTTTAGATGGAGTCTTGCTTTTGTCACCCAGGCTGGAGTGCAATGGTGTGATTTTGGCTCACTGCAACCTCCGGCTGCTGGGCTCAAGCAGTTCTCCTGCCTCAGCCTCTTGAGTAGCTGGGATTGCAGCCACATGCGACCACACCCAGCTAATTTTTGTATTTTTAGTAAATACGGGGTTTCACCATGTTGGCCAGGCTGGTCTCGAACTGTTGACCTAAGGTGAACTGCCTGCCTCGGCCTCCCAAAATGTAGAGATTACAGGTGTGAGCCACCATGCCCAGCCTCCTTTTCTTTTTTGTAGTCTTTAATAAACAGCTGCTATAGTTGCAGACTTGCTGTTCAGGCTCTTAGGAATTTTTCACTAGAAGGCATGTAAAGAAAGACCATGAGCATTTGTAATGAATTTAGCATTCATTCTTTGACTGTGTGGTTATCCCCAGAGCTGTAACTTTACTAATAAATTTTTTAGAAGCTGATTAGCTAGCAAATGAGCCTAACCAGCCACTCACCTTCATTATTCAGTGCCCTTTTATTCTTGTCTATTTCCCCGCAAACTTGGCTACACTCACAAAGTGATAAAAACTTGCATTTCTCTTCTTTCCTTTTTAGAGACAGGGTCTTGTTCTGTCACCCAGGCTGCAGTACAGTGACATGATCATGAGTCACTGTAGCTTCAAACTCCTGGGCTCAAGCAATCCTCCCATGTCAGTCTCCCAAGTAGCTGGGACTACAGACATGTGCCACCATGCCCAGCTAATTTTTTATTTTTTTTTATCATAGAGACAGGATCTTGCTAGATTGCTCAGACTGGGCTCAAACTTCTGACCTCAAGTGATCCTCCTGCTTCAGCCTCCCAAACTGCTGGGATTACAGGCAGGCATGACCACCTGTGCCCAGCCCCTTATTATTATTATTTAAAATAGTAGCTTTATTAAAATATGATTCACATACCGTTCACTTTATTTATTGAAATCTGAAATTCAGTAGGTTTTAGAGTATTCCCAGAGCTGTGCATCAATCACCACAGTCACTTTTAGAATCTTTCATTACCCTATAGAGAAAACCACACTCCTTATCCACTACCTCCTACTCCCCCCCACCTGCCTTGGCCCCCAGTCTTTGGAAACGATTGATTCATTTTTTTGTCACTATAGACTTGTCTAATCTGGACAAATAGATTTGTATAATATGTGATCTTTTGTGGCTTTTTTCCCTCTTAGCACAATGTTTTCAAAGTTCCTTTATGTCATAGTGTGTATCAATATTTCATTCCTTCTATGGCCGAATAATATTCCATGGTAGAGACACACTGCATTTTGTTTATCTGTTCATCAGTTGGTGGACATTTGGGTTGTTTCCATGTATTGGCCATTACAAATAATGCTGCTATGAGGATTGCTGTACAAGTTTTTGTGTGGACATATATTTTTATTTCTCTGGGATATATGTCTTGGAGTGAAATTGTTGCATTATATAATGACTGTACATTTAGACTTTTGAGAAACTGCCAGACTGTTTTCTAAAGTGGCTACACCAGTTGGGTGTGATGGTTCACACCTGTAATCCCAGCTACTCAGGAGGCTTAGTTGGGAGGATGGCTTGAACCCATGAGTTCAATACCAGCCTGGGCAAGATAATGACACTCTGTCTTGATTTAAAAAAATCCAATAAAAATGACAAGAAAAGAAATACCCAAAGTGGTTACACGATTTTATGTTCCCACCAGTAATGTATGTGGGTTCCAATTCCTCCACATCTTCACTGACATTATTTTTTTTTCTAGATAGGGGCTTGCTCTGTCTCTCAGGCTGCAGCACAGTGATGCCATCACAGTTCACTATAGCCTTGACCTCCCAGGCACAAGTGATTCTCTCACGTCAGCCTCCTGAGTAGCTGGGAATTACAGGTGCATGCCACCATGCCTGGCTAATTTTTTTACTTTTTTGTACTCATGGGTTTTACAATGTTGGCTAGGCTGGTCTCATACTCCTGGCCTCAAGTGATCTGTCCACCTCACCCTCCCAAAGTTCTGGAAACTAGGCTGAGCCACTGTGCCCGGCCTTCACCATTTGTTATCTTTTTGTTTTCTTTATACCTTAAAGCAGTATAAGAACAAGTGTCTTCAATTATTCTAAACAAAAATATAATCCCAGGACATTGGGAGGGTGAGATAGGAAGATCTCTTGATGCCAGGAGTTTTTTGTTTTTTTTTTTTGTTTTTTTGTTTTTTGAGACAGAGTCTCACTCTGTCGCCCAGGGTAGAGTGCAGTGGCACAATCTGGGCTCACTGCAACCTCTGCCTCCCAGGTTCAAGTGAATCTTCTGCCTCAGCCTCCTGAGTAGCTGAGATTACAGGCACATGCCACTACTGCCTAGCTAATTATTGTACTTTCAGTGCACATGGGGTTTCACCATGTTGGTCAGACTGGTCTGAAACTCCTGTCCTCAGGTGATCTGCCTGCCTTGACCTCCCAAAGTGCTGGGATTACAGTCATGAGCCCTCATCCCCAGCCTGATGCCAGGAGTTTTAGACCAGCCTTGGCAACTTAGCAAGACTTCATCTCTACAGAATATTGAAATATTAGCCAGATGTGGTGATGCCTGCCTATGGTCTCTCTTGTTTTTTTTTTTTTTTTTAAAGCTTTTGAGACATGTTCTGTCTCTGTCACCCAGGCTGGAGTGCAGTGGTGTGATCATGGCTCACTGAAGCCTGAAACTCCTGGGATCCAGTGATCAATCCTCCCACCTCATCCTACCAAGTAGCAGGGACCACAGGGGCATGCCACCTGGGTCTTGCTATGTTGCCCAGGCTGGTCTTGAGCTCCTGGCCTCAAGCAATCCTCTCACCTTGGCCTCCCAAAGTGCAAGGATTAGAGGTATGAGCCACCATGCCTGGCCCCTACCCTGCCTATTTGAGAACCGAAAGGAGGATCCAAATTCTCCTTAGCTCAACTCGAGCCATTTCCCGATTGCTTCATCAGCAAGGAACTGGTTATTGGGCTGTCCAGGCCTCCCAAGCCACACAGAAATGAGGTGAGGGAGTTTTCCTGCTGCTCCACTCTGTGAGGAGTTAGGGGATGATGTTTACTCATTTGCAGAGAGAGATGCTTTGTAGGCACCTTAGTATGGAGGGAATCCTGATTCCAATGTCCTGGTTTCTTTTAGAAACAGGACCTTGCTGTGTCACTCAGGATGGAGTTCAGTGGTCCTATCATGGCTCATTGTAGCCTCAAACTCCCAGGCTCAAGTGATCCTACCACTTCAACCTTCCCAATAGCTGGGACTACAGGTAAGCACCGTGACACTCAGTGAATTTTTCTTTTTTTTTTTTTTTGGTAGACATGGGGCCTCACTATATTGTCAGGGCTGGCCTTGAACTCCTGCACTCAGGGGAATTTCCTGCCTTGGCCTCCAAAAGTGTTGGTATTACAGGCATGAGCCATTGTACCCGCCGTCTCTGGTTCTTAACCTTCTGCCTCCCTCTTCCACATTTAAAGAAAGCTTGATATTACATGGGCTCTTCCAGATACTCCAGGATAATCTTGTTTTAAGATCAGCTGATTAGCAACATTAATTCCTTCTGTACTCTTAATTCCCCCTTCCTATGTAATTGTGCTGTGTAACATAGGACATGAGCAATTGGTGGGGGGTGGGGGGTGGGGTCATTACTTTGGCCACCACAGTAACTGTTTTGTGCCAGGTACTGAGCTAAGAACTGTTGAATTAAACATGAATAACCCATAATCCCTAATCTCCATCCATTCATGGGAGGAGCACCTCACCTCTCATGCTCCTGAGAATCTGGAGAGTCAAGGAAGGCTTCCAGGAGGGGGTGATGCCAAAGCAGACAAGTGACAGAGGACCCAAAGCTATCCAGGAAGAGAGTAGAGGTTTAAGGGGAAGTGTATTCTAAGCAGAGGGTATCACTCACTTCAGAGACTCCCAGAGGAGAAAGAGTGTGGATTTCATAAGAGCAGGATTCAGCTCATTATGAGAATCTAATGCCTGATTCATGGGGCACATGAGGCTCAGTTGGACTCCACAGCAGGTAAAATGGAGAGGGGCAAGCAGTGAGGCTGCCTTGCAAGGCAGGGCAGAACAGGGGCTGTTAAGAAGTTTGGATTTAATCCCCAAGACAAGGAGAAGTGATGTAAACTTTGGAGTAACGTGATGAGATTAATGGATTAGAGACATGGCTCAGGCTGCTGTGTGGAGAAGGCACCAGGGGGAGCAGATGGCTCAGTGGGTGTGCTGGGACCTAAAGCAGGGGACACACTGAGTTTAGGGAGAGGTTTTTAAAATAGAAGAAGTTTGAGTAATTTAAATGATAGTGGGAAGGGGCTAAAAGCAGGGGATAGTTTAAAGATACAGGGAAGTGGGAGGAAGAACTGACAAGTGAGGTTCCAGAGAGGGGAGGAGAAGAGGAGATCCCCATAGGGGGATTAGCACTTTCTTTTCTTTTCTTTTTCTTTCTAAGACAGGGTCTCTGTCACCCAAGCTGGAGTGCAGTGGCATGATTTTGGCTCACTGTAGCCTAGACTTCCCAGACTCAAGGGATCCTTCCACCCTAGATGCCCAAGTAGCTGGAACTACAGATGTGCACCACCACCACACCTGGCTAAATTTTTTTTCTTTTTTTGGTAGACACAGGGTCTCACTATGTTGCTCAGACTGGTCTCCAACTCCTGGCCTCAAGCGATCCTCCTGCCTAGGCTTCCCAAATTGCTGGGATTACAGGCATGAGACACCATGCCTGGCCTCTGCTAGTTCTGTATTCTCTAGAGTTGTCTTTACTTTGTGCTAGTGTGTCCCTCATTATGCTGATCCTCTGTTAAAATTAATACTTTTTTTTGAGATGGAGTTTCACTCGTTGCCCAGGCTGAAGTGCAATCGCACGATCTTGGCTCACCGCAACCTCCACCTGCTGGGTTCAAGCGATTCTCCTGCCTCAGCCACCCGAGTAGCTGGGATTACAGGTATGTGCCATCACGCCCAGCTAATTTTGTGTTTTTAGTAGAGACGTGGTTTCTCCATGTTGGTCAGGCTGGTCTCGAACTCCTGACCTCAGGTGATCCACCCACCTCTACTTCCCAAAGCGCTGGGATTACAGACATGAGCCACCGCACCTGGCCAAAATTAATACTTTTTATATTAAATTTACATATATATTTTTTCTTTCTTTTTTCTTTTTTTTTATTTTTGGATACCAGGTCTCATGCTGTCAGCCAGGCTGGAGTGCAGTGGCACAATCTCTGCTCACTGCAACCTCCACCTGCCAGGCTCAAGAAGTTCTCCTGCCTCAGCCTCCCGAGTAGGTGGGACTATAGATATGTACCACCACACCTGGCTAATTTTTGTGTTTTTTTGTAGAAATGGGGTTTCACCATGTTTCCCAAGCTGGTCTCAAACTCCTGAGCTCAAAGTGATCCACCCGCGTTGGCCTCCCAAAGTGCTGGGATGACAAGTGTGAGCCACTTTGCTCATTCTAGTTTAAACTTTTGAGTGGTTTGTGTCTCCTGATTGGACTCCTACAAATACAGAATTTATGCTAGGAAGGGTCCCAGGAGATAGACCCACACAGATGGAATTTGGGCATAGGTTCGGTTATCCAAGGAGCAGTGCTAAGCTCCTTGTCAATGGGACATGGGATGCTGGTAATTTCCAGGAAGTGACCTCACAATGACTCAAGCTATCACTTACTGTTGATTGTGATGAAATGCCAGGTGAGGCATAAGCCCTGTGAGCTTAGAGTTGCTACACTTGACCACTGTGGCAGTCAAGATGACTCTGAAGAATGGCATGGGATGGATCCTTTTGAATGCACTTGAGCAGGGAACTCCAACCACAGGGTCACAGAGCCGGAGGTGAGCAACAGGTGAATGAGGGGAAACTTCTTCTGTATTTCTAGCCCTCCCATCACTTGCATGACCACCTAAGCACCATGTCCTGTCAGATCAGCAGCAGCATTAGATTCTCCTAGGAGCATGAACCCTGTTATGTGCATGTGAGGGATCTAGGTTTCACTCTCCTTATGAGAATCTAATGCCTGATGATCTGTCACTGTCTCCCATCACCCTAGATGGACAGTCTAGCTGCAGGAAAACAAGCTCAGAGATCCCACTGAGTCTGCATTATAGTGAGTTGTAGAATTATTTCATTATATATTACAGTGTAGTAATAATAGAAATAAAGTACACAATATATGTAATGTACTTGAATCGTCCTGAAATCATTTCCTTCACCCCCAGTCTGTGGAAAAATTGTCTTCCACACAGTCACTCAGTTTTTTTTTTTTTTTTGGTAGAGACAGGGCCTTAATATGTTGCCCAGGCTGATCTCAAACTGCTAGCATCGAGTAATATATCCCTCTCAGCCTCCCAAAGTGTTGAGATTATAGGCATAAGCCACCATGCTCAACCAAGACTGAATTTTTTAAACCAAATAAAAATTAAGTGAGATTACCTGAGCCCAGGTGGTTGACGCTGCAGTGAGCCCTGATTGCACCACTGCACTCCAGCCTAGGTGACAGAATGAGACTCTGTCTCAAAAAATTAAAATAAAATAAAATAAAATACAAATTAATCCTTTATGACATTCCCAGTAACTTTCCCTCCTAAGTGTTCCCCCAAGCCTTTTAATTTTGTTAAATTTTCACATACCATTTAAAACGTTTAAGAACGTATGTCTGTCTGTGTCATCCCTCTATTTCAAAAGAATGTCTTTTTGTCACTCTCAGCTGGATCTACCATGAAAGACTTCAGAGTCCAGGAAGAGAGACTGACTGGGCAACATGTTATTCAGGTACAAAAAGGCTTGGAATATGACTCAAAAATGATCAAATAATAGTGCATGCATCATATGCAATGGGAAGCTTTTCTGGAGTGTGAGAGAAGCTTCTAGTTAAGGTGACCTTTGAAGCCAAGTCCTGAAAGGTGAGGAAGAGTTGTATAAGAGTGGGTATGAGAGTGGGGAGGGAAGGGGGAAGTGGAGGGATGGGATGGAGTGAGCTGCCCAGGCAGGGAAACCAGCACTGTAAAGACCTGAACAATGAAGATGGCACTTTTTTTCAGGAAATGGTGAATTAAGTTTGACAGGAATGCTTTGTAGAGACAGTAATTTGCTTGTATGGAATTTTGCCTGAGAGACCCCACTACAGTTTCTAATCTTTTGATGTTATCATCCATCACTGTCCTTGTCAAATGATTTAGAATAGGTATAATGATCACAATAACACCAAGCGTAATATCTTATTAATTCTCACAAAATCACAGGTAGGTGCCACAGTTATCCCCATTTTATGAATGAAATGATGAAGACTTAGGGATAATGAGTGATTTGCGCAAGCTCACTTGGATATTATGACTGAGTCAAATGGTGGATCTCTTCTGACTTCAATGCTTGCTTTGTTCATGAGCACCACATATTGCCTCTCCTATGCAGTTAAGCAGGTAGACAGGTGAAAGAAAAGTCCATGTTTGTCTCTACTTACACATTTCTGATTGAACGTGTGTACCGAATTCTCCAGTGTTCTGGATATTAACTGGGTATTCCACAATTTTATTCTGACACTACCTAGAGTTAACACAGACCCCACAGGCTAGGAGCTCAGTCTCATAAGACTATCCTCACTTCAGATGCCAATGGCAAGTCCTAGGTTGTCACCTGTACTTTTGACCAACCTGTTACAAATCAGGGGTTCCCATGACCCTCTTCTTGGGTTTAATAATTTGCTAGAACAGTTTACAGAACTCAGAACAACAGTTTATTTTCTTTTTCTCTGAGAGACAGGTTCTCATTTTGTTGCACAGGCTGGGTGTGCAATGGTGAAGTTATAGCTCACTGCAGCATCAACTGTCTGGGCTCCAGTGGTCCTCCCACCTCAGCTTCCCTAGTAGCTGAGACTACATGCCTCTACCACCACATCTGGCTAATTTCTTTTATTTTTTGTAGAGATGGGGTCTTGTTGTGTTGCCCAGTCTGGCCACAAATTCCTGGGCTCAAGTGATCCTCCCACCTCAGCCTCTTAAAGTGCTGGGATTACAGATGTGAGCCACCGTATCTGGCCGTTCATTTCTTATTACTGGTTCATTGTAAAGGATACATCTCAGAAATAGTCAATGAAAGACACATACTTGCTGAATGTGGTGGTTCATGCCTGTAATTCCAGCACTTTGGGAGGCCAAGGTGAGGGGATTACTTAAACTCAGGAGTTTGAGACCAGCCTGGGAAACATGGTGAAAACCTGTCTCTACAAAAAATTTAAAAAAAAATAAAAATAAATAACCAGGTGCAATGTTGTGCACCTATTATTCCAGCTACTAGGAAAGCTGAGCCGAGAGGATGCCTTGAGCTGGGGACTGGGGAGGCTTAGGTTGCAGTGAGCTGAGATTGTGCTACTGCACTCCAGCCTGGACAAAAGAGCCAGACCCTGTCTCAAAAGAAAAGAAAGATGCCCAGGGCAAGGTAAGTTAGGAGGGGCACAGATCTCCCATGCCCTCTGTTGAACATGCCACCTTCCCAGCATCTCCTGTGTTCAGCAAGCCCAGAAGCTCTGCAAACCCCATTCAGGGTGTTTATGGAGGCTGTATTATGCAAGCATGATGATTGATAACATCTTTGGCCATTGGTGATTAAGTCAATCTTCAGCCTCTCTTCCTCCTGGAGTTCAGTGCATAAGGCTGAAAGTTCCAAGCATCTAATCATGTGGTTGCCCCCAAAGTTCTTAGAGGCTCTTGTGTTAGAAACCTGGGACCAAGATTAAATATTAAAAACAAAAGATGCTCCTATCATGTCTATCACTGAGGTCTTTGTAAGAGCTTTAGAAGCTCTGTGCCAGGAACCAGGGACAGAGATTAAATATGTATTTCTTTTCTTTTCTTTTTTTGAGACAGAATCTCCCTGTGTCATCCAGGAGGTCATATGATCTCAGGAGGTCATAGCTCACTATAGCTTTGACCTCCTGAGATCAAGCCATTCTCCCACCTCAGCCTCCCAAGTAGCTGGGACTACACATGCATGTTACCCATGACCAGCTCATTTTCATAGAGATGAGATTTAGTTATGTCGCCCAGGCTGATCTCAAACTCCTGGGCTAAAGTGATCATCTCACCTCAGCCTCTCAAGTAGCTGGAACTACAGATGCACACCACCATGTCCGGCTAATATTTATTCTTATTTTTTTTCTAGAGGTGGGGTCTCACTATGTTGTTCAGGCTAGTTTCAAACTTTGGGCTTCAAGTGTTTCTCCTGTCTTGACCTCCCAGTGTTGGGATTATGGGTGGGAGCCACCATGCCCAGCAATCACAAGGATCTTTATAAAAGAAAGAGGGTCAGAGAATCAGAATTGGAGCAGGAGATGTGGTGATGGAAGCAGAGGTCAGAGAGGGAGATTTGAAGATGCATCACTTCTGGCTTTGAAGATGGAGTCAGGGGCCATGATCCAAGAATGTGGGTGGCTTCTAGAAGCTGGAAAAGCTAAGGGAAGACTTTAGAGTCTCCAGAAGGAATGCAGCCCTGCTGACACCTTGACTTTAGCCTTAATAGACCTATTTTGGGCTTCTGGCCCCCAGAACTGTAAGATGGTAGATTTGTGGTGTTTTAAGCCACTAAATATAGGAAACTACAAACTGTTGCAGCAGCAAGAAAAAATGAACACGTAGCCAGTTATGGTGGCTAATGCCAGTAATCCCAGCACTTCAGGAATTTAGACAGGAGGATCACTTGAGGCCAGGAGTTCAAGACCAGCCTGGGCAACATGGAGAGACCTTGTCTGTATGAAAAATAAAAAAATTGGCTGGGCACGGTGGCTCATGCCTGAAATTTCAGCACTTTGGGAGGCCAAGGTGGGTGGATCACCCCTGAGGTCAGGAGTTTGAGAGCAGCCTGGCCAACATTGTGAAACCTTGTCTCTACTAGATATACAAAAACTAGCCAGTCGTGGTGACACACACCTGTAATTCCAGCTACTTGGGAGGCTGAGGCAGGAGAATCACTTGAATCCAGGAGATGGAGGTTGCAGTAAGCTGGGATTGCACCATTGCACTCCAGCCTGGGCAAGAAGAGTGAAGCTCCATCTCAAAATTAAAATAAAATAAAATAAAAAAATAAAATACTAAAATAATGAGCCAGGAATGATAGCATGCACTTGTAGTCCCAGCTACTAGGGAGGCTGAGGTGGGAGGACCACTTGAGCCTGGGAATTTGAGGTTACAGTGAGCTGTGATTGTGCCACTGCACTCCAGTCTTGGTGACAGAGTGAGATCTTGTGAAAGACAGAAAGAATGAGAGAGAGAGACCAACAGACAGAAAGAAAGAAAAAGAAAGAGAAAGAAACAAAAAAAAATAAAGAAAAAGAAGACATGAGCATGGTAGGCATGGGGACAGATGGCAATGTTAAATAGAATGGTCAGGGGTCACCTCCTAAGTGAAAATTGAGCAAAGACTTGAAGGAGGGGAAGGAGTTGGCCAAGGTGCTGAGGGAAGAGGATTATAGGCAGAAACAACAGAATAAAGTGTCTGAGGTGTGTCTGAGGCTCTGGAAGGAGGCCAGTGGAGCAGAAGGATAGAGGGAGAGAATTAGAGGACGGAATCAGTACACATCGCATAAGCCCTGGGAGGTTATTGCTGGGGCTTTGGCTTTTACTCTGACTGAGATGGGAACTGTGGGAGGGTTCTGAGCAGAGAGGTGACATGATCTGTCTCCCGATTTAAAAGCATTCTCTGGCTGCTGAGTTGAGAAAGACTGTGGGAAGATTTGGGTAGAAGCATGGGGGCCAAGCTGTGACAACATCCAGGTGGGAGATGATAGTGGTCCTGACTAGGGTCATGGTGGTGGTGAGAGATGGTCAGAGGAGAGAAGTAGGGGAGAAGGCCAGGGAGTTGCTGGGGGGGATCTTCAGTACATGTTGAAGACAGTCAACAGGATTTCCTGACAGACTGGATGTGAGGTGTGAGAGAAGGCAGAGGTCAAGGTTGAGTTTGATTCTTACTGAATTATTAAGTAATTTTAAAAAACACTACTGCCTTTCTCAATCCTACCGAGTATGGGATGCTAGATTAAAGAAATCTCTTCATTCTCAGTGCAGTGGCTCATGCCTGTAGTCCCAGTTGTTTGGGAAGCAGAGATGGGAGTTTATTTTAAGAGCTGGAGTTCAAGACAAGCATGGACAACATAGCAAGACCTCCTCTCTACAAAAATGTTTTTCAAAATTTAATAAAATAAATGTAGCTAGCATGGTGATGTGTACTTGTAGTCCCAGCTACTCAGGAGGGTGAGATGGGCAGATCTCTTGAGGTCAAGAGTTTGAGGCCAGCTTGGGCAATATAGCAAGACCACTCACTCTACAAAAAATTTAAAAAATAGCCAGGTATGGTGGCACTCAACTGTAGTACCAGCTACTGGGGAGCTGAGACAGGAAGATGGCTTGAGCCCAGGAGATTGAGGCTGCAGTGAGCTATAAGTACACAACTGCACTCCAGCCTGGAGGACAGAGCAGGACCTGTCTCACAGTACAAATAGAAATACAAGTAAAAAAATGAAATCTGAAGTCAGAGCCTTTTGTCTCTGCAGCCGTTGCAACCCTGGAGCCATGGAGTAGGGTTTGTGTCTCTGGGAATGAGGAGACCCCTGCCCAGTGTTGTTGCCTGACTAATTGGTGTTTCTAAAAATGTATTAATTGGGGTGGGTGTGGTGGCTTATGCCTGTAATCCCGGTACTTTGGGAGACCCAAGTGGGTGGATCACCTGAGGTCAAGGGTTCTAGACCAGCCTGGCCAACATGGTGAAACCCCATTTCTACTAAAAAAAAAATACAAAAATTAGCCGGGCATGGTGGTGGGCACCTGTAATCCCAGCTACTTGGGTGGCAGAGGCAGGAGAATCACTTGAGCCCAGGGGGCGGAGGTTGCAGAGAGCCGAGATTGTGCCACTTCACTCCAGCCTGGGGAAAGAGCGAGACTCCGTCTCAAAAAAAAAAGTATTAACGTAATGATTTTATTATTAGTATGTAATGAATATTAAATACTTTTAAAATTTTGTATTATATCAACATGTAATGGTTTTATAATATTTATAAAATTTATAATATTTTTAAAATTTTGTCATATTTTCTAATTTTAATACATTTGTATAAAGAAACAGTCTTAGGGATCTTCAATAAAGTTAAAAAATGTAAAGGGGTGCTAGACCCCAAAAGATAGACCCCAAAAGACTGAGAACTTCTAGTTTAGAAATATTCAGAGTAAGCCACATACAACTTGTTACTTAATCTATTTTCTTTCTTTTTTCTTTTAGGAGATGGCGTCTCACCCTGTCACCCAGGCTGGAGTGCAGTGGTGCCATCACAGCTCACTGCAGCCTTGAACTGCTGGGCTAAGGATCCTCCTGCCTCATCCTCCCGAGTAGCTGGGACTGTAGGTATACATGATGACACCTGGCTAATTTTTAAATTATTTTGTAGACATGGGGTCTCACTTTATTGGTCAGGCTGGTGTCAAACTCTTGGCCTCAGGTGACCCTTCCAACTCTGCCTCCCATCCTAGAGGTATGAGCCACCACAACGAGCACTTGTTCAATTTTCTAAAAAAATAAAAAATTTCTAAAAGCTGTGGGATGATGGCAGGAAAAGTAGAAAAACAGAAAAGTAAGTTCAAATAACTTATTCACACATATTCTTTCGACAGCAAGAGGAACTTTTAGTATATATGTTCCTTACAAACAAACAAAAGGCAAATAAACAATGTTGTATAGGAACTTCAACGCACACTGTACAATATTCCCACTTTGCTGACATCAGTTATGGAAATTCTTTGTGGTTTACTTCACTATCGCTATCAGTATTTTGCTTCTCTGATCATTTTTATCAACTTCCTCATCTGTTAACTTCTCTCCAAGGTGTGTCATATCGTGACAAACTGCTGCTGCACAAACATGGCCAGCGTCTTCTTATTAAACATATAGAATGCTTCCCTAATTTCTTTTTTTACCATATATCTCTGTGTTTTGCATTTTTCTTACCTTTATTGTCAGAGACTCTAGAAAGTCTGTTGTACTAATTTATCATGATTTGCTTCATTAATACATACTTTGCTTATATGGAATTTAGCCCAACAGACCTCATTAGAATTTCTAACTTTTTTGTTTGTTTGTTTGTTTGTTTGTTTCCAAGACAAAGTCTTGCTCTGTTGTCCAGGGTGGAGTGTAGTGGTGCTATCACAGCTTACTGCGATCTCAACCTCCCAGGCTCAAGCTATTCTCCCACCTCAGCCCCCGAAGTGGCTGAGACTATAGGTGCTTGCCGCTATACCCAACTCATATTTGGATTTTTCCTATATGTGGGTTCCAAAGGGGTGACTGCAAAATGTGAGTATGCATGGATTTTGGTATATGCAGAGATAGGTGGCTGGAACTAATCCTCTCTGTATAGCAAGGGATGACTGTATGTGTTTTTACAATTATGCTGTAGGACACATATTTTTCCATAGCCTTTAAAATAATAATTTGTAATGACAGATAATTTTTAATAGAGTGGAATAATAATAATGTTGATAAAAGTAGCAGCTGGCCAAGTGTGGTGGTTCACACCATTAATCACAACACTTTAGGAGGCTGAGGCAGGAGGATGGCTTGAGGCCAAGAGTTTGAGACAGGTCATGGAAACAAAGGGAGTCACCATCCCTGCAGAAAAATACATGAATTAGCCTAGTGTGGTGATGTGTTCCTATAGTCCCAGCTACTTGGGAGACTGAGGTAGGAGGATCACTTGAGCTCAGGGAAGCTGAGACTGCAGTGAGTCATGATCAGGCCTCTGCACTCCAGCCTGGGTGGCAGAGTGAGACCCTGTCTTAAAAAAGTACCAGGTAACATCAAGTGACCTTTTACCAGGTGCCTATAAATATCATAGTTTAATTTCTTATAACTGTTTCTTATTTCACTTAACTACTCTGTCTTCAATTACTCCTAGATTTTCACTGTGTTTGTACAGTTGACATTTTGTTTAGATTGAATTGTCTCCCCAAGGTATTTCCAGAAGTAAGATTACTGTGAGTCATGGTGAATGGACATTCTCATTGCCCTTGATGTAAATGGTCAAGGTTTTGGGTGCCTCTCAGCTATAATCCCAGCCCTTTGGAAGCTAAGGCAGGAGGATTGCTTGAGGCCAAGAGTTGGAGGACGCAGTAGGTGAGATTGTGTCTCTATTATTTAAAAAAATTGCCAAGCTTTACCCTGGAAGGCTTATGTACAATTTAAACACCACTCATAGTATAAGAAAGTGTCCATTTCACTGCACCTTTGCCAGCACAGGGTATTATAATTTAATACTTTTTTCATTATTTTAAATAGATAAAAGACCTCATATTACTTTATCTGTCACATTTCAACATCTTTCCTTAGCTTATTATCTCTATTTCTTTTCTGTCTGTAAATGGTTGTTGTTGTTTTGTTGTTGTTGTTTTGTTCTTTGAGATGGGGTCTTGCTCTGTCACCCAGGCTTGATGACTGTAATGGCATAATCATCACTCACTGCAGCCTTGACCTCCCAGGCTCAAACTACCCTCCCACATCAGCTTCCCGAGTAGCTGGGACTACAAGTGTGCACCACCACTCCCAGCTAATTTTTTTTTCTTTTTTTTGGATAGAGACAGGGTCTTGCTGTGTTGTCCAGGCCGGTCTCTAGCTCCTGGCCTCAAGCAATCCTCCTGCGTTGGCTTCTGAAATTGCAGGAATTTCAGGCATGAGCCACAATGCCTGGCCTGGGCTAGTCCTATATTCTCTAGAGTTCTCTTTACTTTGTGCTAGCCAGTCTCTCATTATGCTGTTCCCCTGTTATAATGAATAATTCTCTGTATTAAATTTTACCACTTTAAACTTTTGAGTGGTTTATGTCTCCTGATTGGACTCTGACTAATATGCTAGGAAGGGTCCCAGGAGATAAACCCACACAGATAGGATTTGGGCATAGGCTTGGTTATCCAAGGGGCAGTGCTGAGCTCCTTGCCAATGGGAAATGAGATGCTGGTGATTTCCAGGTAGTGACTTCACAATGACTCAAGCTACCACTTACTGTTGATAGTGATGAAATGCCAGCTGAGTCACAAGCCTTGGGAGTTAAGTGGTTGCTGCACTTGACCACTATGAAGACTGGTGTGGGAAGGGTCCTTTTGGATGCACTTGAGCAGGGGTCCCCAACCCCTGAGCCATGGAGATGTAAGGAGCCACACAGCAGGAGGTGAGTGGTGTCGAGTGAGGGAAGTTTCATCTGTATTTACAGCCACTCCCATTTGCTCACATTCCTGCCTGAGCTCCACCTTCTCTCAGATCAGCAGCACCATTAGATTCTCACAGGAGCTCATACCCTATTGCGAACCGTACATGTGAGGGATCTAGGTTGCGCTGTCCCTATGAGAATCTAATGCCTGATTATCACTTTCTCCCATCACGCTCAGAGGATGGGACCATCTAGTCACAGGAAAACAAGGTTAACACGCCCACTGATTCTACATTATGATGAATTCTATATTTCATTATATCTTACAACAGAATAGTGGAAATAAAGTACCTAATAAATGTAATGTGCTTGAATCTTTTGGTCCAGCTCCCGCCTCCCAGCAGCCTCTTCAGGCCCAGAACTTTCTCCAATTGGCCTCTACAGACCAAGCTCATGGCTCCCAATGGCCTATTTAGGCCCATACCCTACCTCATGACAGTCTCCGCAGATGAGGCTACTGTATCACGGCAGCCTCCACAGGCCCAACTCCATCATTACAACAGCCTCTTTTGGCCCAGCTCCTGCCTCCCAGCCTTCTCTCCAGGCCCAGAGCTTTCTCAAGTTGACCCCAGCTCCTGCCTCTCATCGGCCTCCCAAGGGCTGGCTTTTGCCTCATGGCCACCTTCCAAGACCCAGCTCCTCCTCTTGAGGTGCACCTTCTGCCTCCCACCAGTCTGTACAGGCCAGCTCTTCTTGAGGCCCACCTTCTGCCTCCCAACAGCCTGTACAGGCCCAGCTCCTGCCTTACAACAGCCTGTTTAGTCCCAGCTCCTGCCTCTGGGTGGCCTATCCAGGCCCAAAATGTCCACAAGTCAACCTCTCAAGGCCCAACTCCTGCCTTCTGTCAGCCTCTCCAGGCCCAGCTGCTGCTTCCAGGTGGCCTCTACAGGCCAAGCTCTTTCTTCTGGCTGTGACTGGGGGCCCAACTTCTGCCTCACAATAACCTCTTTTGGCTCAGCTCCTGCCCAGCTCCTAGTGGCCTTTGTAGGCCCAAAACTGCCTCAAGTCAAGCTTTCCAGGCCCACTTTCTGCCTCCCAATATCCCGGACAGGCCCAGCTCCTGCGTGACAACGGCCTCTCCAGGCCCAGCTCTTGCCTCCCAGCAGACTCTCCAGGCCCAGCTTTTGCCTCATGGATGTCTTCCCCGAACAATTTCCTACCTGCCTCCCAGCAGCCTTGACAGGCCCAGATCCTACCTCACACTAACATCATTAGGCCCAGCTTATGCCTCACGGTGGCCTTTCCAGGCCTAGCTCCTGCCCCCCCACAGCTGTCCATGCCCAAAACTTCCTCAAGTCAGCCTCTTCAGGCACAACTCCTGCTGAACACTGGCCTCTTTAGGCACAGCTCATGCCTCTCAGTGGCCTCTCCAGGCCCAGTTCCTGCATCTCAGCGGCCTCTCCAGACCAAGAACTTTCTCAAGTCCGCCATTCCAGGCCCAACTCCTGCCTCCCATCGGCCTCTACAGGTTCAACTCTGCCTCACAGCAGACTCTCGAGGCCCAGCCTGTGCCTCACCGCAGCCCTGCAGGCCAATCTGCTGCCTTTCAGCAGCCTCAACAGGCCCAGCTCCTGCCTCCCAATGACCTCTTTATACCAAGTTCATGCCTCACATGGCCATTCTGGCCCAGCTTTTGCCTTTTAGCAGCCTCTCCAGGCCCAGAACTTCCTCAAGTGGGACTCTCCAGGCCCAGCTCTTCCTCCTGGCTGCATCTCCAGGTCCACCTCCTGCCTCACAACAACCTCTTTCCACTCAGCTCCTGCCCAGCTCCTGGCGGCCTTTGTAAGCCCAAAATTTCCTCACATCAAGTTCTCTAGCACAACCTTCTGTCTCCCGGTGGCCTGAACAGGTCCACCTCCTGCATGACAGCAGCCTCTACAGGCTCAGCTCTTGCCTCATGGAGGTCATCTCTGGCCAAGTTCCTGCCTGCCTCCCAGCATCCTCAACAGGCCCAGTTCCTGCCTCACACTGTCTTCAATTAGGCCCAGCTCATGCCTCATGGTGGCCTCTCCAGGCCCAGCTCCTGCCTTTGACAGGCTCTCCAGGCCAAAATCTTCCTCAAGTCGGCCTCTCCAGGCTGATCTCTTGCCTCACACTGGCTTATTTAGGCCCAGCTCTTGCTTCTTGGCAGCCTCTCCAGGCCCAGCTCCTGCATCTTGGTGGCCTCTCCAGGCCCAGCTCCTGCCTTCTGTTGGCCTCTACAGGCCCAACATCGACCTCACAGCAGATTCTTCAGGCCCACTATCTACCTCACCGTGTCCCCCCCAAGCCAAGCTACAGTGTTTCAGCAGCCTCTACAGGCCCAGCTCCTGCCACTCAGTGGCCTCTTTAGGCCAAGCTCATGCACCACAAGGACCTTACCAGGCCCAACTTTTGTCTCATGGCAGCCTTCCCTGGCCAGGTTCCTACCTGTCTCCCAGCAGCCTGGACAGGCCCAGGTCCTACCTCACACTGGCCTCTCTACACCCAGCTCATGCCTCATGGTGGCCTCTCCAGGCCCAGTTCCAGTCCTAGGATGTCATCTCCAGGCCCACAACTTCCTAAATTCAGCCTCTCTAGTCCCAACTACTGCCCCCCTTGGCAGCCTCTGAAGGCCCAAAACTCCTCAAGTTGGCCTCTCCAGGCCCAGTTCCTGCCTTCTATTGGCCTCTACAGGCCCAGCCTCTGCCTCATGGTGGCTTCTCCAGGCCCAGCTCTTCCTCCTGGCTGAGTTTACAGGCACAACTGTTGCCTCACAACAACCTCTTTTGGCCCAGTTCCTGCACAGCCCACGGCGGCTGCCATAGGCCCAAAACTTCCTCATGTCAAACTCTCCAGACCCACCTTCTACTTCCTGGTGGCATGTACAGGCCCAGCTTTGACTTGAGAACAACCTCTGCAGGCCCTGCTCTTGCATCACAGGGGCCTCTCCAGGCACAGCTCTTTCCTCATGGCAGCTGCCCTAGGCCAAGTTTCTGCCTGCCTGGCAGCAGCCTCGACAGGCACAGGTCCTCCCTCACACTGGGCTGTTTAGGCCCAACTCATGCCGGTCATTGCCTATCCAGGTCCAGTTCCTGCCTCCTGGCATACTCTCAGAGCTGCAAACTTACTCAAATCAGCAGTTTCAGGCCCAGCTCCTGCCTACTGTTGGCCTCTACAGGCCCAGCCTCTACCTCACAGTGGAACCTCCAAACCCAGCTCATGTCTCACTGTAGCATCCTCAGGCCAAGCAGCTGCCTTTCAGCAACCTCTACAGACCCAGCTCCTGCCTCAAAATGGCCTCTTTAGGCCAAGCTCATGCCCCAGGGTGACTTTTCCAGGCACAGATTTTACCTTTTGCAGCCTCTCCAGGCCTAGAATGTCCTCAATTCAGCATCTCCAGGATGAGCTCATCCTCCCGGCTGTGTCTACGGGCCCATTTCCTGCCTCACAACAACCTCCTTTGGCCCAACTCCTGCCGAGTTGCTGGCAGCCTGTTTAGGCCACAGAATTCTTAAAGTCAGGCTTTCCAGGCCCACCTTCAGCCTCCCGGCAGCCTCTACAGGTCCAGCTATTCGCTCACGGTGGCCTCCAAAAGCCGAGTTTCTGTCTGCCTCATGGCATCCTCCAAAAAGAGCCTTTGCCTCACGGTGACCTCCCCAGGCCACAAATCGGCCTGCCTCCCAGCAGTCTCGACAAGTCCAGGTGCTGCCTCACAATGGCTCCTATAGGCCCAGCTCATGCCAAGAGGAGGAATCTCCAGGCACAGCTCTTGCTTCCTGGCAGCCTCTGTAGGCCCAAATTGTTCAAAAGACGGCTCCTCCCAGCCCAACTCTTGCCTCACATCGGCCTACACAGGCCCACACTCTACCTCACAGTAGACCCTCAAGGCCCACAACTTGCCTCATCATGGCCTCCTCATGCCAAACTCCTGCCTTTCAGCAGCCTTTACAGGCCCAGCTCCTCCCTCTCAATGTCCTTTATAGGCAAGGCTCGGGCCTCCTGGTGGTCTTTTCTCGCCAAGATTTTGCTTTTTGACATCCACTCCAGGCCCAAAACTTCCTCCAGTCAGCATGTCCAGGCCAAGCTCTTCCTCCCAACGGTGTCTGCAGCCCAAAATTGTCCAGAAATCAGCCTCTACAGGCTCATCTCCTGCATCGCAGTGGACTCTGTAGACCAAACTCATGCCTCTCGACACCCTTTCCAAGCTTAGCGTTTGCTTCTTTGCATCCTCTACAGGCCCTGAACTTCCTCTAGTTGGCCTCTCCCGGCCCAGCTCTTCCTCCCAGCGGACTCTGCAGGCCAAAATAGTCCTCATCTCGGCCTCTCGAGGGCCAGCCTCCTGTCTCCTCATGGCTGCTGCAGGCCCAAATTGTCCTGAAGTCTGCCTCTCCAGGCCCAGCTCTTGCCTCTCAATGAACTCTCCAGGTGCAAAACTTCCTCAAATCAGCCTCTACAGGACAAGTTCCTGTCACCCGATGGCCTTGTTAGGCCCAGCACACTCCTCACAATGGCCTTTCCAGGCACAGTTTGTTCCTTTTGGTGGCCTCTCCAGGCCCAGAACCACCTCAAGTCGGCCTCCCCAGACCCAGCTGCAGCCTCCCGGTGGACTCTGCAGGCCCAAGTTGTCCTCAAGTTGTCCTCCCCTGTCCCAGCTCTTGCCTCTCAGTGGCCTCTCCAGGTGCACAACTTCCTCCAGTCAGCCGCTCCAGACCCAGCTCCTCCTGCCTCCCAATCGCCTCTTTAGGCCCAGCCCAGCTCATGCCTCTCGGCAGCCTTCCCAGGCCCTGCTTTTGACTTTTGGTGGCCTCTTCAGGCCCAGAACTTGACCTCCAGTCGGCATCTCCAGGCCCAGCCTCCTGCCTCCCGAGGGCCTGTATACAGGCCCAGCTCTTGGCCTCACTGCGGCCACCCCAGTCCAAAGCTCCTGCCTTCTGGCACCTTTGACAGGCCCAGCTCCTGCCTCCTGATGGCCTCTTTAGGCCCAGCTCACTCCTCTCAATGGCCTTTCCAGGCCCAGTTTGTCCACTTTGGCAGCATCTCCAGGCCCAGAACCTCCTCAAGTCTGCCTCTCCAGACCCAGCTGCAGCCTCCCGGCATCCTCTCTAGGCCCAGCTCTTCCTCCCGGCTGTGTCTACAGGCCTGGCTCCTGCCTCACAGCAACCTCTTTGGACTCAGCTCCTGCCCAGCTCCTGGCAGCCTTTGTAGGCCCAAAACTTCCCCAAACCAAGCTCTCCAGGCCCAGCTCAGGCCTCACAGTGGCCTCTCCAGGCTCAGCTCCTGCCCTCCGATGGTGTCTTCGAGCCCCCAAACTTCCTCCAGTCAGCTTCTCTAGGTCCAGCTTGGGCCTCCCGGCAGCCTCTGTAGGCCCAAATCATCCTGAAGTCAGCCTCTCTAGGCCCATCTCTGGCCTCCCGGCAGCCTCTCCAGGCACAACACATCCTCAAGTGGGCCCCTTCAGGGCCAGCTCCTGCCTCCCATTGGCCTCTAGAGGCCCAGCCTCTGCCTCCCTCCTGGCAACCTCTCCAGGCCCAGCTCTTCCTCTTCCTCCTGGCTGAGTCAACAGGCCCAACTCCTGCCTCACAACAAACAACCTCTTTGGGCTCAGCTCCTGCCCAGCTCCCACCAGCCTTTGTAGGCCCAAACCTTTCTCCAGCCAAAATTCTGTAGGCCCACTTTCTGCCTCCCTGTGGCCTTCACAGACCCAGCTCTGACTGGAGTGCAACCTCTGCAGGCCCCGCTCTTGCCTCCCAGGGGCCTCTCCAGGCCCAGCTCTTTCCTCATGGCAGCTTCCTGGGACCAAGTTCCTGCCTGCCTCCCAGCAGACTCAACAGGCCCAGCTCCTCCCTCACAGCGGCCTGTTTCAGCCCAACTCATACCTCTTGCAACCCACCCAGAGGTGTGAGCTCCTGCCTCACACTGGCCTCTCTGGGCTGAGGTCTTCCCCCACACTGGCCTGTTGAGGCCCAGCTCATGCCTCTCGTGGCCTCTCCAGGCCCAGCCCCTGCCTGTTGGCGCCCTCTCCAGGCCCAGCCTCCACCTTGCAGTAGGCCCTCCAGGCCCACCTCTTGCCTCGCTGTGGCATCCTCGGGCCAAGCTCCTGCCCTTCCACAGCCTCTGAAGGCCCAGCTCCTGCCTCCCAGTGGCCTCCGTAGGTCAAGCTCATGTCTCAATGGTGGCCTTTCCAGGCCTAGCATTTGCTCCTTTGCATCCTTTCCAGTTCCTGAACTTACTCCAGTTGGCCTCTCCAGGCCCAGCTCTTCCTCCTGGTGGCCTCTGCAGGCCCAATTTGCCCTCAAGTCAGCCTCTCCAGGGCCAGCTCCTGCCTCCCGGTGGCCTCTGCAGGCCCAAATCGTCCTCAAGTCGGCCTCCCCCAGCCCAGCTCTTGCCTCTCAGCAGCCTCTCCAGGTGCACAACTTCCTCTAGTCAGCCTCTCCAGGCCCAGCTCCTCCTGCCTCCCAATCGCCTCTTTAGGCCCAGCCCAGTTCATGCCTCTCTGTGGCCTTCCCAGGACCCACTTTTGACTTGTGGTAGCCTCTTCAGGCCCAGAACTTGACCTCCAGTCGGCCTCTCCAGGCCTAGCCTCCTGCCTCCCAAGGGCCCTTATACAGGCCCAGCCTCTGCCTCACAGCAGACTCTCCATGCCCAGCTCTTGGCCTCACTGTGGCCACACCAGTCCAAAGCTCCTGCCTTCTGGCACCTTCGACAGGCCCAGCTCCTGCCTCCCGATGGCCTCTTTAGGCCCAGCTCACTCCTCACAGTGGTCTTTCCAGGCCCAGTTTGTCCCCTTTGGCGGCCTCTTCAGGCCCAGAACCTCCTCAAGTTGGCCTCTCCAGGACCAGCTACAGCCTCCTGGCATCCTCTCCAGGCCCAGCTCTTCTTCCCAGCTGCGTCGACAGGCCCAACTCCTGCCTCAGAGCAACCTCTTTGGACTCAGCTCCTGCCCAGCTCCTGGTGGCCTTTATAGGCCCAAAACTTCTTCAAGTGAAGCTCTCTGGGTCCAGCTCAAGCCACATGGTGGCCTCTCCAGGCTCAACTCCTGCCCTCTGATGGTGTCTCTGGGCCCCCATACTTCCTCTAGTCAGCTCCTCTAGGCCCAGCTTGGGCATCCTGGCATCCTCTGCAGGCCCAAATCGTCCTGAAGTCTGCCTCTCCAGGCCCAGCTCCGGCCTCCCGGCAACCTCTCCAGGTGCAATGCATCCTCAAGTGGGCCCCTTCAGGGCCAGCTCCTGCCTCCCATTGGCCTCTAGAGGCCCAGCCTCTGCCTCCCTCCTGGCGGCCTCTCCAGGCCCAGCTCTTCCTCTTCCTTCTGGCTTCATCGACAGGCCCAACTCCTGCCTCACAACAAACAACCTCTTTGGGCTCAGCTCCTGCCCAGCTCCTGCCAGCCTTTGTGGGCCCTCCATGCCCACCTTTTGCCTCGTAGGCCCAAATCTTCCTCAAGTCTCCAGTCTCGGCTCCAGCCTTTTGTGGGTCTCTTGTCACAAAACTTCCTCATGTCGGCCTCTCTACGTTTAGCTTTTGCCTCCCGTTGACCTTTTTAGGACCAAAGCTTCCTCAAGCCGGCCTCTCCAAGCCCAGCTCCTGCCTCCCGTCTGCCTCTACAGGTGAAAAACTTTCTCCATCAGCTTCTCCAGGCCCAGCTCCTGTCTTTGAGTGTTTTTTTTTTAGACCCAAGCCACCTCATGCTTTTACCTTTCAAATGCCTGTAGTGGCCCAGCCTCTGCCTAACAGCGCACTCTCCATGCCCAGCTCTTGCCTCACTGTGGCCTTCCCAATCCAAAACTCCTGCCTTTCAGCAGCTTCGACAGCCCCAGCTGCTGCCTTCAAATGAGCTCTTCAGTCCCACCTCATTACTCTCAATGGTCTTTCCAGGCCGAGTTTTTTCCTTTTGGCCACCTCTGTGGACCCAGGATTTTCTCAAGTCTGCCTCTCCAGTCCCAGTTGCTGCCTCCCAGTGTCCTCTTCTGGCCCATCTGTTCTTCCCAGGTGCATCTACCAGTTCAGCTTTTGCCTCACAACAACCTCTTTGGACTCCGCTCCTGTCCAGCTCCTGGCAGCCTTTGTAGACCCAAAACTTTCTCAAGTCCAGCCCTCCAGTTTCACTGCCTTCCTTGTGGCAGCCTGAACAGGCCCAGCTTTTGCCTGACAATGGCTTCTTAAGGCTGCCTCAATAGACCCAGCTTCTGCCTCACACTGGCCTCTCTAGGCCCAGCTACTGCCTCTCACTATCCTCACCTGGCCCATCTCTTTCCTCACGTCTGCCTCCCAAGTCCCAGCTCCTGTCTCACTGTGGTCTCAGTTATACCAGCTCCTGTCTCACGATGGCCTCTTCTGGCCCATCTTTGGCCTCATAGTGGCCACTCGAATCCATCTTCTGCCTCCTAGTGTCCTCTTCTGGCTTTGCTCTTGCCTCACAGTCACCTCTTCTGGATCCAGCTTTTTAGTCTTTGATGGTCAACAGCATCAAGGAGCCTAAAGCTTCCCTGGACTCTTATTTGTTGGTAACTTCAGAGCAGATTGCCTTAGCAAAACACCTGTCTCTTCTTTTAATCTTGACAGTGGATTTCTGACAAACTTATAATAAATTCTGCCTGTGTGCTTTCATAGTGATTTTTGTTTTATTTAGTGTCTCATCTTTTTTTGTCTTCTTTGGGTGGCAATGGGAATGAGCCTTTGCTTGGGCCCTTTTTCTTCACTCTGGACATGGCAGCTTCTCACTTCATGTCTTCTATATTTATATTTTTTACAGTTATCTTTTTTGTTTTGTTAGGGTCTTGCTCTGTCACCCAGGCTAGAGTGTAGTCGTGTGATCATGGCTTACTGCAGCCTTGGGCTTTTGGCCTGAAGTGATTCTCCCAACCCAGCATCTTGAGTAGCTGATACTACAGGCACAAGCCACCATGCCTGGCTAATTTCTGATTTTTTTCTGAGAGGTTGGTTCTCACTATATTGCCCAGGCTGTTCCAAGACTTTTGGACAAAAGTAATCCTTTTGCCTGAGCCTCCCAAATTGCTGCGATTACAAGCATGAGCCACTGTGCCTGGCCTGCTATTTGCCTGTCATGAACTATTAAGAATTTATTTTTTGATTAATATAGTATTTCTGTATAGATTTATGTATATATAGATATTTTAAATTTTTCATGGATACCAATTTTTTCCCTTTTTTTGAGGCAAGGTACCACTTTTTCAGGATGGAGTGTGGTGTTATTATCCCAGCTCACTGCAACCTCTTCTTTCTTGGCTTAAGTGATCCTCCCACCTCAGCCTGCTGAGTAGCTGGGACCCCAGGTATGAGCCACCATGCCCAGGTAATTTTTATATTTCTTGTAGAGAGGGGGTCTCACCATGTTTCCCAGGCTGGTTTCAAACTCCTGGGCTCAAGCCATCCTCCCCCCTCAGCCTCTTGCAGTGCTGGGATTACAGGTGGGAGGCACGATATCTGGCCTACCATTTTCTTTTCATGGATTATTAAGAATTTCCTTTATGCCAGCACCGTGGCTCATGCCTGTAATCCCAGCACTTTAGGAGGATGAGGTGGGTGGATTACATAGTCAGGAGTTCAAGACCAGCCTGGTCAATATGATGAAACCCCGTCTTTACTAAAAATACAAAAATTAGCCAGGTGTGGTGGCAGGCATCTGTAATCCCAGATACTCCGGAGGGTGATGCGGGAGAATTGCTTGAACCTGGGAGGCGGAGGTGGCAGTGAGCTGAGATCATGCCACTGCACTCCAGCCTGGGTGACAGATTGAGACTCCATCTTAAAAAGAAAAAAAAAGAATTTACTTTTTTATTAGTATAGTGTAAATATATAAATATGTGTATACATTCATATGTGAATATATGTGTGTATGTATTTTCATAGCACACACACACATACATTGTGAAAGAGATATTTGAATACCTAGACATTGATAAGCTTCTTCCAGGTTTCAAAACCACCCTTAGCACAAACACAAAAGTACAAACTGTCATTATTAATGACCATGGACCAAGATGACCATGAGTCAATAGTACTTTGCACCTCAACCACCTTCCAGCAGAGCATCTCAAAGGGCTGGATATATCTGAACACCACACCCTTTCACATAGACTTTGATGGTTTGTAATTATTACTTCTTTTAAGACCTCAGTGTGATCCTTGTCAGGGTGAAATCAAACTATTTCTCAAATCGTAGATACTGAATAACAGCTTTGGTCAGGAAATAGGTATTACATTTGGTTTGTCATGACAAGCTCCTGGCCTAGGCAGATGGAATATAGCAGAAATCTGTGTGTGTGTGAACATTCTTGTGCACCGATGTTGGGGTGGAAGTGGGGGGCTGTTGAATTTGATAAAACCAGCAGGGGGCAGGCTGCTGGGAAGAGGGAACTTATTTTGGCAGCTGCTGTGTAACTCTAGAATTAACAAATGCTTGTAATCCACAGTTTCATCTCCTGGAAAATAAAGATTATAATTCCTGCCTTGATATGTGGGCTAGGTGATCCGCTCTATGCAAAATATCTAGTATATAATAGGTGCTGAATTAATACTACTTTCTGTGCCTCATTCTTAATTACTGCTTAATTTTAAAAAGTTTAGAATGGCTACTGCTTTTGTAAAAATTATTTGTAATTATTATATAAAATCTAAGTCCTATAAAATTATACAGCATGCTGGGTGCTATAGCTCACACCTGTAATCCCAGCACTTTGGGAAGGCAGGGTAGAAAGATTGCTGAAGGCCAGGAGTATGAGACCAGCATGAGGAATATAGCAAGATTTCATCTCCATAAAAACTTAAAAACCAGTTATGGTAATGTGCACCCTTAGTCCCAGCTACTCGGGAGGCTGAGGCAGGTGGATCACGGAACCCAGGAGTTTGAGACTGCAGCCTGGGTAACAGAGTGAGATCCTGTCAGAGAGAGGGAGTGGGAGAGAGGGAGAGAAACAAGTACAAACAAGCAAGTAATAAATAATAATGGAATTTTCAACCACCAAGAAATAACTCAACATTATGTGGTATGTCCAGGCCTCATAGCTCATGCCTGGCTGAGACACGAGAATCGCTTGAGCCTTGGAGACAGAGGTTTCAGTGAGCCAAGATTACACAATTCCAACTCCAGCCTGGGCAACAGAAAGAGATTCTGTCTCGAAAAAAAAAAAAAAAAGGTGATAATTCATACCTCTTTTTGTGCAAATAGGTAGTTAGGTAAGTAGATGTATTAATGGATTAAAAATAACTTTGCCTGGTGCTGTGGCTCACATCTGTAATCCCAGCACTTTCAGAGGCCGAGGCAGGCAGATCACGAGGTCAGGAGATTGAGACAATCCTGGCCAACATGATGAAAACCTGTCTCTACTAAAAATACAAAAATTAGCTGGGCGTGGTGGCAAGTGCCTGTAATCCCAGCTACTTGGGAGGGTGAGGCAGGAGAATCGCTTGAACCTGGGAGGTGTAGGTTGCAGTGAGCTGAGATCGTGCCACTGCACTGCAGCCTGGCAACCAAGCGACACTGTCTCAAAAAAATAGATAACTTTATGTGTTTTATATGTGTTTTAGTTTAAACATATATAATTTTCATTTTGCTTGATACAACAGAAGCTGAAGAAACTAAAGTAAGGTGGGACAATTTCTGAACTTCAGATATGTGAAAGTTATATCTTTTTATTCAACATTCATTAAAATTATGAAAAGAGATAATAAAAGTATCATGATTCTTTTTAACCTGCAGTTTCTATTTTCACCCACAGCAGCTGTATTTTTGGAACTGATTCATGTTTGAGAGTTTCTGTTTAATGCATTTATACTTGGATAACTATTCTTTTTTTTTTTTTTTTTTTTTTTTTTTTTTTTTTTTTGAGACAGAGTCTTGCTCTGTCACCCAGGCTGGAGTGCAGTGGTGCAATCTCAGCTCACTGCAACTTCCACCTCCCAAGTTCAAGCAATTCTCCCACCTCAGCCTCCTGAGTACCTTGGATTATAGGTGTACGCTACCATGCCCAGCTAATTTTTGTATTTTTAGTAGAGACGGGGTTTCACCATCTTGGCCAGGCTGGTCTCAAACTCCTGACTTCAGGTGATCCACCCACCTCAGCCCCCCAAAGTGCTGGGATTACAGGCGTGAACCACCGCACCTGGCCTGGGAGAATATTCTTGATTCATTTTCCTTTTCTTCAGTTCTTCCTTTAAGTTCTGGCTTTATTGTCATCTAGCTCTGGCTGGGGTTATGGAAGGCTCTGAGGCTGGCTGGAGGTTATTCTCACACGCACTTACGTTTTCCTGCCCAAAGGCCATGGGAATACTTTGTTTATCATTGAAATTCAATAGCTTAGCCAGGGTTGGATGGAGGCCAGCGATTCCGTATTAGTTTTTCCAGGTATATGATGTGCCCTTAGACTACTGACTATGTACTTCTCTATCGCTCCATGCAATCTTCTCTTTCTTTTCCCTTTTCTTTTCTTTTCTTTCTTTTTTCTTTCTTTCTCTTTCTCTTTCTTTCTCTCTCTTCTTTCTTTCTTTTTCCTTCTTTCCTTCCTTCATTCCTTCCTTCTTGTCTTTCTTTCATTTTTTTCTCTCTCTCAATAGGAAAAAAAGTCTAATAATCTGATTTTAACATGGGCAAAAGATCAGAATACACATTTCTCGAAAGAAGACATAAATGATAAATGGGTATATGAAAATGTGCTCAACATCATTGATCATCAAAGAAACAGAAATCAAAACTACAATGAGCTATCATCCCACCCCAGTTAAAATGGCTTATATCCAAAAGACAGGCAATAACAAATGCTATTCAGGATGTGGAGAAAAGGGAACCCTGGTACACTGTTGGTGGGAATGTAAATTAGTACAACCACTATGAAGAACGGTTTGGAGGGTCCTCAAAAAGCTAAAAATAGAGCTAATTCATAATCCAGTAATCCTACTGCTAAGTGTATACCCCAAAGAAAGAAAATCAGTATATCGAAGAAATATCTGCATTTCTATATTTATTGCAACACTATTAACAATAGCCAAGATTTGGAAGCAATCTAAGTGTCCATCAACAGGTGAATAAATAGAGAAAATGTGGTACATATACACAATGGAATATTATTCAGCCATGAGAAAGAATAGAATCCTGTTATTTGCAACAACATGGGTAGAACTGGAGATCACTATGTTAACTAAAATAAGCCAGACACAGAAAGGCAAATTTTGCATGTTCCCAGGCATTTGTGGGTGCTAAAAAAACAATTGAACTCATGAAGATAGAGAGTAGAATGATAGTTACCAGAGGCTGGGAACTGCAGTGGGCTGGAGGGGGTGCACAGGAATGATTAATGCGTACAAAAATACAGTTAGAACGAATACAATGTAGTATTTGGTAGTACAACAGGGTGACTGTAGTAAACAATAATTTATATTTAAAAATAGCTAAAAGAGGCCAGATGTGGTGGCTTATGTTTGTAATCCCTGCACTTTGGGAGGCTGAGGCAGGTGGATCACCTGAGGTCAGGAGTTCGAGACCAGCCTGACAAACATGGCAAAACCCTGTCTCTACTAAAAATACAAAAATTGGCCAGGTGTGGTGGCACACACCTGTAATCCCAGCTACTCAAGAGGCTGAGGCAGGAGAATTGCTTGAACCTGGGGGAGGGGGGTGGAGGTTGCAGTGAGCCAAGATCACACTACTGCACTCTGACTCAGGCGACAGAGCTAGACTCCATCTCAAAAAAAAAAAAAAAAAAAAAAGGCGATAAGAGCACAATTGGATTGTTTGTAAAACAAAGAAAGGACAAATGCTTAAGGTGATGGGTATCCCATTAACCCTCATGTGATTATTACACATTATATGCCTGTACCAAAACATCTCATGCACCCCATAAATATATACACCTACTATGTACCCACAAAAATTAAAAGTGAAGCATTTTCTAAACTCCCTATCTTTGCCAGATATGGTGGCACACACCTGTAATTCCAGTGTTTTTTGAGGCCAGGATGGGAGGATCACTTGAGTCTGGGAGTTTGAGCCCCACATAGGCAACATAGGAAGACTCCTCTCTCTAATAATAAAAAACTTAGCCAGGCATGGTGGGGCTCATTCCTATAGTCCCAGCTACTTGGGAGGCTGAGATGGCAGGATCCCTTGAACCCAGGAGGTTGAGACTGCAGTGAGCTATGATTGCCCCACTGCACTCCAGCCTGGGTGGCAGAGTGAGACCATGTCTCTTAAAAAAAAAAACCAGTCCTAGCATGATCTGACCCTGCCTGCCACCCTCTGTTCTTTTCCTCTTGCTCATTGTGCATCAGGCATCTGGGCTTCTTTTCTGCTCCTGTAAATGCCAAGTGCTTTCCCTCTTCAGGACTTTTGCACATGCTCTCCCCTGCCCTAAATGGACTTCCCATACCTCCTGCCATAGCTGGATTTTTCTCATGTTTCAGACCACAGCTCACACATCACCTCTGCAGAGAAATCCTCCCTCATCCTGTGGAGGGGGAATCATCCTCCTTTTTCATTGCCTCAACCTGCCTGGTTCTCTCAAAGCAGATATCACTCTCAAAACTCAGCTTGCTATTTACTGAATTGCTTGTCTGCATGTCCTCCTCTCAAACTCATGCCGAATCAGAACAGTGGCTCCCTATTGCAGGAGTCCCATCTTATTCATTCTCAGAACCTAATATAGTACTTGGCACATAGTAGGCACAAAATAAATGTCATTAGAATGAATAAGTATCAAGGGGCCGGGTGCAGTGGCTCAAGCCTGTCATCCCAGCACTTTGGGAGGCTGAGGCAAGTGTTTCACCTCGGGTTAGGAGATCAAGACAAGCCTGGCCAACATGGTGAAACCTCATACCTGCTAAAAATACAAAAATTAGCTGGACATGGTGGTGCACACCTGTAATCCCAGTTACACGGGAGGCTGAGGGAGGAGAACTAGTTGAATCTGGGAGGCAGAAGTTGCAGTGAGCCAAGATTGTGCCCTTACACTCCAGCCTGGGTGACAGAGTGAGACTCCATCTAAAAATTTAAATAAATAAAAATAACAAAAAAGAATGAATACGTATCAAGGAAGGGAGATTTTGTGATTTGCCACCTTTACATGAAAATCCTGCTTAACATTGACATTTTCGCTCTCCCTCTCCCTCTCCCTCTTCCTCTCCCTCTCCTTCTCCCTCTCCCTCTCCCTCTCCTCACGGTCTCCCTCTCCCTCTCTTTCCATGGTCTCCCTCTGATGCCAAGCCGAAGCTGGACTGTACTGCTGCCATCTCTGCTCACTGCAACCCCCCTGCCTGATTCTCCTGCCTCAGCCTGCAGAGTGCCTGCGATTGCAGGCGCGCACCGCCACGCCTGACTGGTTTTCATATTTTTTTGGTGGAGACGGGGTTTCGCTGTGTTGGCCGGGCTGGTCTCCAGCTCCTAACCGGGAGTGATCTGCCAGCCTCGGCCTCCCAAGGTGCCGGGAATGCAGATGGAGTCTCGTTCACTCAGTGCTCAATGTTGCCCAGGCTGGAGTGCAGTGGCATGATCTCGGCTCGCTACAACCTCCACCTCCCAGCCACCTGCCTTGGCCTCCCAAAGTGCCGAGATTGCAGCCTCTGCCCGGCCGCCACCCCGTCTAGGAAGTGAGGAGCGTCTCTGCCCAGCCGCCCATCATCTGAGATGTGGGGAGCGCCTCTGACCCGCCGCCCCGTCTGGGATGTGAGGAGCCCCTCTGCCCGGCTGCCCAGTCTAGGAAGTGAGGAGTGCCTCTTCCCGGCCGCCATCCCATCTAGGAAGTGAGGAGCATCTCTGCCCGGCCGCCCATCGTCTGAGATGTGGGGAGTGCCTCTGCCCCGCCACCCCGTCTGGGATGTGAGGAGCACCTCTGCCCGGCCACGACCCCATCTGGGAGGTGTACCCAACAGCTCATTGAGAATGGGCCATGATGATGATGGCAGTTGTGTCGAATAGAAAAGGGGGAAATGTAGGGAAAAGACAGAGAAATCAGATTGTTGCTGTGTCTGTGTAGAAAGAAGTAGACATAGGAGACTCCATTTTGTTCTGTACTAAGAAAAACTCTTCCGCCTTGGGATGCTGTTGATCTATGACCTTACCCGCAACCCAGTGCTCTCTGAAACATGTGCTGTGTCCACTCAGGGTTAAATGGATTAAGGGCGGTGCAAGATGTGCTTTGTTAAACAGATGCTTGAAGGCAGCATGCTCGTTAAGGGTCATCACCACTCCCTAATCTCAAGTACCCAGGGACACAAACACTGCAGAAGGCCCCAGGGTCCTCTGTCTAGGAAAACCAGAGACCTTTGTTCACTTGTTTATCTGCTGACCTTCCCTCCACTATTGTCCTATGACCCTGCCAAATCCCCCTCTGCGAGAAACACCCAAGAATGATCAATAAAAAAAAAAAAAAAAAAATTGACATTTTCTATTTGATGGTATTTCTATAATAAGAAATTGAAACTGTGCTAATTAAAAGAGAATGAGGCTAGGCACGGTGATTCATAACTCTAATCCCAGGACTTTGGGAGGCTGAAGGGGAAGGATTATCTTAGGGTAGCATTTTGAGACCAGCCTGGGCAGCATACTGAGACCCCTGTCTCTGCAAAAATAACATTTAAAAAATGAACCAGGTGTGCCAGGTGCAGTGGCTCATGCCTATAATCCCAGCACTTTGGGAGGTGGAGGGGGGAAGATCACCTGAGGTCAGCAATTCAAGACCAGTCTGGCCAACATGGTGAAACCCCATACCTACTAAAAATACAAAAATTAGCCAATGTGGTGGCGAATGCCTGTAGTCCCAGCTACTTGGGAGGCTGAGACAGGAGAATTGCTTGAACCTAGGAGGCAGAGTTTGTAGTGAGTGATTAATGGGTACAAAAATACAGTTAGAATGAATAAGATGTAGTATTTGGTAGCAAAACTGGATGTCTGTAGTAAACAATAATTTATATTTAAAATTTTTATTAAAAATAGCTAAAAGAGTCCAGACATGGTGGCTTATGTTTGTAATCCCAGCACTTTGGGAGGCTGAGCTGAGATCAGGCCATTACATTCCAACCTGGACAGCAAGAGTAAAACTCCATTAGATGTGGTGGCATGGGCCTGTAGTCCCACCTCCTCAGGAGGCTGAGGGGGCAGAATCACTTGAGCCCAGGAGACAGAGGCTGCAGTGAGCCATGGTTGCACCACTGCACTGCAGGCTGAGGGACAAAGCTAGACCTTATAGCTAAAAACAAAACAAAACACAAAAACAGGGTGTGGTGGCTCATGCCTGTAATTCCAGGACTTTGGGAGGCTGAGGTGGGTGGATCACATGAGGTCAGGAGTTCAAGTCCAGTCTGGCCAACATGGTGAAACATTGTCTCTACTACAAAATACAAAAATTAGCCAGGCATGGTGGCAGTCGCCTGTAATCCCAGCTAATCAGGAGGCTGAGGCGTGAGAATTGCTTGAACCCAGGAGGCAGAGGTTGCAGTGAGCAGAGATCATGCCACTGCACTCCAGCCTGGGTGACAGAGCAAGACTCCGTCTCAAAGAAAAAACAAAACAAAACAAAAACACTAAAAAGAACATTCCAGCTGCTTGTCAAGAGATTGGACATGGAGGGGCAATAGTGGGAGCAAGACATCTGGTGAGGAGCTGCTACATCAACATCTTTTGATTACTCCAGGCCGTGTTTTGAGTGGCACCTCTGCTAGAATGTGGCCCAGCCTCACATGCCTTAATTCTGAGACTCAGTGCCATGCCGGTAGAGACCCTGTGAGGTCACACTGTGGAGGCTTGTTGGGAAAGTGTTGGCTCTTCAAAATCAACATCTTGGTTCATTCCTTTGATGCTGGAGACAATGACCTGTATCTCCTCATATGTCTGATCAAGTCAGTTAAAAACAGAGTGGAGTGTCTCTTTGTCCAGGAGCTTGGGCTGCTCTGGAGTTTGCACAAACACAAATAATCATCACAGGCTCTCAGGCCATGCATCTTGGTTACGACCCAAGACAGCCCTTCAGCAGTGGACATCTACATAGTAGAATTTCCCAAACACCTCTTTAAAAAAAAAGAGCGAGAGAGAGACAGGGTCTCTCTATATTGCCTAGGCTGGTCTCGAACTCCTGACCTCAAGAGATCCTCCTACCTCAGCCTCCCCAAGTGCTGGGATTACAGGTGTGAGCCACTGTGCCTATACCATCACTTTTTAAATCCATTCTATTATTGATGAACATTTGGCTTGTTACCAATTTTGTGCTGTTACAAATAATGCTTTATTAACACTCTTGATGATGTGTCTTCCAATGTACAAATGCACACTTTTGTTTTGGATTTCTACCTAAGAGTGGAGTCTGAGTCATGGCATATATATACACATATACACATACATATATATACATATATTCAACATTAGTAGATAATATCCAATAGTTTTCCAACATACACTTAAACAACAAATGCACATTTCTACCAGCAGGCATGAGAGATACCACTCCTCTATATTGACAACAAATACTGGGTATTGACAGTCTTTAATTTTAGCCATGTGGAGAGAGCATTGCTGTGGTATTTTATTGTGGTTTTACATATTTTTTTCAGGATAACTAAGAGGTGAACCACCCCCCAACTTTCTTACATGTTTACTTTCCATCTTTTCTGAAGTGCTTGTTTAAGTCTCACATGGTAGTCTGTCTTTATCTTGTTTATCTTATAAGGTAGTTCCTTATATATTCTGTATCAGTCCCGGTTCTGTGAAAAGCAGACACTAGTTTGGAAATACTATGCAGCTACTAAGATAAATATGCAAGAGATTTATTGGGGAAAAACTAGTGAAGGAAGGTGGGAGAAGCTACCAGGAATAATTCAGGTATAACTCCTATGAAGGAGAGAGGGAGGGGAAAAAAAGAAAGGTAGGTTCTAGGTTACAATGTATCTCTAAGTAAATTTTGTCAAGACTGACAGGGAGTCTTTGAGTTAAAGGTGT